>NC_000005.10:84049200-84352231 GCF_000001405.40 Homo sapiens | reverse complement strand
AAATCTCCATAGTGTCTTCCATAAAGGTTGTACTAATTTACATTTCACCAATGTATAAGAATTCCCCTTTCTCTGCATCCTCACCAACATCTGTTGTTTTTTTAATTTTTTTAATAGAAGTCATGCTGACTGATGTGAGATGTTATATCATTATGGTTTTAATTTGCATTTCTCTGTTGATTAGTGATATTGAGCATTTTTTCATATATTTGTTACCTGTTAGTATGTTTTCTTTTTAGATATGCCTGTTCATGTCCTTTGCCCACTTTTTAATGGGTTTTCTTTTTCTTGTTGAGCTCTGTTTGCATTCTTTATATATTCTGGATGTCAGCCTTCTTTTAGATATATAGATTGAAAATATTTTCTCCCATTCTGTAGGTTGTTGTTTATTGTGCTGATTATTTCTTTTGGTATGCAGAAGCTTTTTAGTTTTTTTTTAGATTAACTTCTATCATCCACATGCTATTGTTTCCATAAATTTTACTAAATTATTTAATGTTTTAATTGGAAAGGATCTTGGAGAGCATTCTAGTTCAAATCCAACACTCACTTTGCAGATGAAGAAATTTGCAGGCAATAATTCATAAATGATAAATGCAACTGAGTGTCCAATACTGAGTAAACATATATACTTCTGTTCTAACATCACCTTTAATAGGTTAGTATCATCTCCTTTTGATAGATGAGGAAAATGAGAACTTCAGTGACTTTCTCAGGGCCACCTAGCTTATCGTCAGCAATGATCCCTGAAAGGATCTTAGGAACTAAAGCCCAATTCACTGTTTTGCTTGGACTATGTATTTCCTACATAGATGAAAACAGGCAGCTTGGGTTGCTCAAGTATACACAGCTGGTTAGTGACATACCTAGGGCCATTACTTAGTGTTTTTCAATGAGAGGTCTTAAAAGAATGCCAAAGCTTGTATATAGATTTTGGAGCAGATAATACTGCAAGAAGAATGATGCTATAAATTTATTATCTCAAAACCCTGCCAAGAGTCAAAATAGATAAAAATGTGCAAACAGCACTAATAAGAGCATACAGTTTCCTGGAAACATCTGTCCTTGCTGACAAATAAACATCTTTTTAATACCCTAAAAAGCTAATTTAAAGGAAAATAATGAGGGATGGATGCTGGAGGTAAAAAGGACTAGAGCTGTGCTGTCCAATGCAATGTGATTGACCATACATGGCTATTGATTACTTAAAATGTGGCTAGTCCAAATAAATATGTGCCATGAGTGTAAAATACACACTGGATCCCAAAGACTCAGTACCAAAGAAGAAAAATATATCATTAATTTACATATTGGTTAAATGTTTATTTAAATAACTTAATTATATTGATTATATGTTTAAATGATAAGTAAATTATTTCATTAAAACTAACTTTACATGTCACTCTTCCTGTTTTTAATGTGGCTACTAGAAAATTTAAAATTGCCTATATAGTTCACTTTATATTTCTATTGAACAATGCTGGGCTAGAGTATGAGTGAACAGGGTGAATATTCAAATTAGAGGTAGAAAACATGTGTCCATGGAATATTTTTGTATGCAGATTTAAAAGTTGCATAATATGAGGATCACTATTTTTAAAAAAGCTAGATAATAGAATGCTATAATTTTAGTAATATTCTTTTTGTTATTTTAAGACTAAACTTTATTCATCTCTGTGGATCATCAAATAAATGATTGGCCTATGGTTGAACTATATGCAAGATTTAGAAGTTTAAGTATAGTTATATGCATATGATTGTACTAAATCTTTTAAGTGGATGCAAAACCATGCTACTGGTGCTCATTTATCTCAACAGCATACCCATCTAAAGTGACTACTAGATATATCAAAGAATACTCAACCTCACTAGAAAGTAAAAAAGTAGAAATTAAAATTGTATGAAGTAGCCTCTGCCACCAGTCAGTATGTCAAGAAATAAAAGTTTCATAATAAATATTAATGTTATTCTGGGCATGGATTGCTGGAGGCATTGTAAATTGGTTCAGATATTCTGGTGGAATGGTTGATAGTAGGCATA
Organism: Homo sapiens; assembly: GCF_000001405.40. Lineage (NCBI taxonomy): Eukaryota > Metazoa > Chordata > Mammalia > Primates > Hominidae > Homo > Homo sapiens. Next base: position 84,350,191 of record NC_000005.10, on the reverse strand, counting down.
AGATTTTTAGGAATTTAATATAATAACTAAATGTAAAGCATAATATTGAGACATAAATACCTTAAGCTAACTTACTACAGTGGGTAAGAGAACAAATCTTGAGGTGAGGATGCCTGGGTTAGACAACAAGATCTTTCATATAGTACATGTGTAACTTTGAATTACTTACCTAGCCTCTCTGCAACTCAGTTTCTTCATTTGTAGAAATAAATAAAGAGTAGTATCTACCTCGTAGAGCTGTTATAAGGATTAAGCAAGTTAATATTGATAAAGTTTTTGGAACAGTTGCTGGCACATAGTAAATTACCTATCTATTTTTAAGTTAATCAAAAGTATTTGCTAAGATATTTGTACCTTTACAAATCTATAATATTGCATGCAATATAAACATCAAAAGTGAACATTTAAATGAATAAGGTATACCTATACTATGAAATAATATGCAGTCATTGAAATGATGTGAGCTGTATTTACTGACATGGAAGAGTGTTGGTGGTGTACGAAGAGAAAAAATTAGGTCAGATAACAACGTGGTGTTTAATATTATTCTATTTATCTATATTCACAGAAAGATGACTGGAGATATGTGAACAGAATTCCATTTAAAAATGGAATTTATATTTAAAGAAATATGCTTGCTTCATTTTTCAAAATGGCCCACAATTATGTTTGTCACCAAAAATGTATTTTAAAATGTGACTCACAAAACATTATTTTCTTCAATAATGAATCGTGTCCTACTTGAGTCAGCAGATGGTTAAGTGGATTACTACTGTTAGATTAGAGGGATAGCTGGTTGATCTATTAATACTTGCTAGATCAATTCATTACAATCCACCATAACCTCTAGCTCTTGGAAGGAGAAACAAGCTGCTTCAGGTCAAGCAGGGCCAGAGAACACACATGGAACGGCTATTGTCAATTAAACTCCTCTAGACCATGAAGTTTCTACAGCACAAGCCTGCGGAAAAATCCGATGCACTGTTGCCTCAAGAAGCCTGCTTGGGAAAGCAAGCTGTTATTCTTTATAAATAATTGTAGCAAGACATGTTTATAAATTTGGCAGTAGAAGTTAAGAATATTATTCAGCTCTTAAAAGGAATGTTACATTATATAGTAAAGAGAAGAGAAAAGGGGGCTATAATATAGTTAAAATGTCAGGCTATTATTAGCAATGTTCATTAGGATTATGGACTAGTGCTGTTAGGTATCTTAAGTAGGAATTATGTTTATTAAAATAATAATTGAATAAACTTCTTTATTTCCATAATCCAAGAGGTAATTAAATATGATTTTTATTTAACAAAGCACGAAAGAGGTTTCAAGTGTAACATTGCTCAACAAACACTAGATGTATGAATCTTGTACAAGTTTTGATGGTACTTTAAATAGTTTGAAAATATTATGATACTTATGCCTTCAGTAGAAATTGGAGACCTTCTGTGTGTTGGTGAATTCTCTGGGTACCATGGACAAGGAGAGAAACCTACCACATTGGAAAGTCACTAATATGTTTCAGTGTATGCTTCTTTAATCCAAACAGACATGCATCTGAAATTCGGTTATTTATTTTCGAACAGGTGTTTTTTTTTTTTTTTGCCACAGAGGAACATAGAAGACAAAAAAAGGATAATCCAGGGAAGATTTTAGATTTCATAAAACCAAAGTGAGACTCATTGAAGGTTTTTGAATAAGGAAGCTTAGTAAGTTAGATTTTTTAATAATTATTTTTTAGAATATTGCACAGCACAGGTGGAAAAAGGAGAGGCAAGATGGATACAGCAGGCCCTCTGTTAGTGCACCACCTGAATCCCTCAGGCCCAAGATTTTGGGGTGCCCAGGCTAATGCCCAGCTCCCATACCATTTCTATACTTAAAGGCTTTTCCTGGAACAAGGAGAGTAGAAATGAGAGGAAATTACCTCCCTATGGATCAGCCCTCAAGCAATGACTGCAGGGACTTGCTGTATAAATACTCTAGCTTCCATGCTTCAAGTGGTAAAATTCCCTGAAATGTATTTACCACCTTTTCCAAAGTTTGGCTCAGTGGAATTAAGCTCAGGTCACCCTCTTCATTAGCTTAATAATCACTCTGTTTACTGACTGTGTTTCCTTTCATGGACCACTTTTCTCCCTCACCATTGCTTTTTTTACATTTTCCTCTGTTTCACCATTGCTTCCAGTACCTGGAATTGAATCTAGACCATCTCTGGTCTATTACTGGGGAAACTGAATGAAACAGCAACATACTGGCAGGAGATAAGGAGGGTGTTTATCTCATTCATTTAAAATGGTTAGTGCTTGCCTTCCAAGTCTTTATAATATGGATGCAGGCAAAAAAAATATGAATGTGTCTCATAAAAAATAATTCAATTAAATGGATGCTGACTCCTTTCTACATGATAGAAACTATGATAGTTCCTGCAAGGGCAAAAACTAGTGATATACCTCTCTACCTTCAAGGAAAATACAGCTTAATATTGGGAAAGAAGATGAATATAATGGTTGTTAAAAGATAGACTTGTATAATATGTGAAATCAAATGCAAGAATTACTCCTATTAGATTTTAGACTTTAATGTGACTAGAATTTTTCTCCAAAATTAATCTTCATCCTGACTTGTCTATAGAAACTAATAGTATGTATCTGAGATTATCAGAGAAAAGCCAAAATATAGTTACGTATATTTATGTTAAGAAGTTCAATAGCAAAGTCAGCTGGGTTTAGTTACTGTAATAATGATGTGAGCACAAAGCATTATAATAAAATTAAAAGCAAAATTTGCTGGAAATGTTAATTAGGTATTCTCAAATGGACCATAGCATTTCTTTCCACTTATACATATTCAGTTTTTGTCTTCTCCTTCATAATGCAAGGTTTGAAATTATTTAGAGCAGTGTGAGATGAGTAACTTTTCCAATGGAAGAACAGATACAAACAGGGCATCATATTTGATGAGATGTGAATAGCTTTACAGTCTTACTGTTTTCCTTTTATTCATATAATTAACTCTGCCTAGGACAGAACATGTGGACAAAAGGACACAATGTTACTATCTCTGGCCTCCTAAATATATAGATGAAGAAGTCAAGGCTTACCTGGGAAGTTTGAATCCCAGAGCTAGGACTTAGAAGGCTTAAGATATTATGGTAATTTCTCAATTTTTTTTTAGTACTTGTTGCATGCAAGAGGCAGAAAAAAATTTAAACTAATTCAGACAAAAAGAGAATGCATTCTTTTATGCAATTGAAATGATTCTGACTTCAAACACAGGTGGATCCAGGAGATTAAGTAATATGCCATCAGGATTGAGTCTCAGTCCATCTCTTGGTTCTGTGTTGGACATTCTCATATAGGCTGTCCTGATACAGAAACATGATGATTATCGGTGGCTCTAGACATACATCTTATTAGTTTCTAGTAGAAAGAGGATGAACTTTTTCTCCAAAGAGTTTCACAAAAATCCTGCAGTTAGCATTACTGGTTCTGATGTCCTGGTTGCTTCATCTTGTCATCCCTGAGTTAACTCCAATAGCTATTTAAAATGGATAAAAGTTGAAAGCAGGATTCCCCAAGGAACATCTATTAACAGAAAAAAAGGAATGAAAGTCAAGCAGGCAAAACTAAAAATGTACACTGTACTCATCTACCTCAGGAGAATACTCAAGAAAATATTATGATAATAAAAATTAAATTGACAAGGTCAGTTGTTCAAAATATAGATCGGGGTGAGCCAGCTGTGACTCTAGGATCTGAACATCTCTCATAGTCCATTTTGTAAATAAAGTTTTATTGGGACACAGCCAAGCCCATTCTTTCATGTATCGTCACTGGCTGCATTTGTGCTATGATGGCAGAGGAGTAATATTAACAGAGACAATAAGAACCTCAAACCTAAAATGTTTATTATTTAAAAAAGTTTGCGGGAGGCTGAGGCAGGGGAATCGCTTGAACCCGGGAGGCGGAGGTTGCAGTGAGCCAAGATCGCAACACTGCACCACTGCACTCCAGCCTGGGAGACAGAGCGAGACTCCATTTCAAAAAAAAAAAAAAAAAAGAAAAAAAAAGTTTGATGACTCCTGATATAGAGATTTAAGGGAAAAGAGTAGAAATAAATGAATGAAATGAATGACTAAAAGAATAAACGAAATTTATATAAGCATCAGTTTTTAAAACAACAGCAAAACAAATATTGTTCTTTTAAAACCTGTGCCGGTAAGCAGTTTTCTTGACTCACCTGCTTCAGTAGTTTGGAAAACATTGTTGTGTTTTCATAGGGATCTACTGAGTGAGAGTCTCCCATATGTTTTATGTTGTTCAATCTGTACCTATTTTTAGAAGTTTTGAATTAGTTTTTGCTAGCATGAAATATATCCATTTCTTTTTGTACTTGCCTTTGACTACGTTTTCTTTTTTGAAAGTTTTGCAAAAATGCTTGGTTAATTTTCTAGACCTTTTAAAAAAACAAATTATCTTGATGCATAAATATACTTTTTCCTGGCATCTGTTCAGCTATTCATATAAATTAAAAATGGAGCATAAGCAATACATCATCTCTTTCTGAACCACCTTGTGTCTTGCCCAACTAGGGAGCAATTAATTGTGACATGAACTTTTTTTAAGGGGACCCTACTAAATCATCTGGAGGAGAGCTCAGATATTTTATTACTCCATTTCTCAAAGTCAGCATCTGGCAACATTGTATTTGGAGAGCTATTGCTATGCTTTAATTCAATTCTTAAATTCAACCTAAGTCATAGCTTTTAGATTGGAAGAGTATCTTATTTTTAAAATTATTGCTATTTATTTTTACCCACTATAAACTAATTTAAGGGTAATGAGTAGTTTGAAAAGAACATTTGAGCAATTTTCCATCTTTCTTTGTGGAAAATAGTGTGTTCAGATGACATTTCCTTGGCAGAATATGCTTAGGATGTCTCAAATCAGGAGGGTTCTATCTTTCTATAGGCAAGAGAACTAATGACATAGGTTACCTGATAATATAATTACAGAAGGATTTAAGTGGTTAAGTATGTCTTCCATGGTGAAATGGGAGATGTTACAAAATAGATTTGTGCTGTAGAGTTTGTAGAATTATGTCTGTGTAAGCCAACAAAATGAGCCATGGGAAAAGATGAGAGAATAACTAGGTCCCCCAAATGTTTATTTGAAAATACGTTAGCCTCCTAAAATGCTTTGTAAGCAATTACAAGAATTTTAGAAATTGAACCACCAATTTGCTTTGGTATAAGTGATCTAACTGACTGGTTGAAAGTGATATTATAATTTTGAACTAACATAAAATGTTTAAATCTGGAACTCTACCATTTGACAGAGTACATGATTTATTATTGTCTAAGGTGGCTCCATTTATTAGAAATATAACATAAACCACATGTTTAGTTTTAAAATTTCTAGTAGCTACACTAAAAAACATAAAAAGGAATTGTTTGGATTAATTTAAAAACATATTTTATTTAATCCAATATGTCAAAATTATTCTCATTTAAATGTTTAACAGTATAAAAACATTAATGACATATTACATTTTTGTTTTATTCTAAATATTTGTAAACTGGTATGTATTTTACATTAATGAACATTTAAATCTACATGCTAAATTGTCATCACAAATACTTTGTTTGTATTTAAATTTCATAAAATTTACATATGAAAAAGGAGACCACATACACAAATTGTTGGTAACGTGTTTAAAATTCTTCCAATAGCTAAATTATTATATTTATATTTAAATTAATTAAAAGTTTAAAAATACAATTTTAGTTCTTCATTCACACTTGCCACAATATATGTGCTCAGTCACATATGACTAGTGGTGAACATTGGACTATGCAGATGGAGGACATTAATAATCATACAGGTCAAAGTTTTCAAATGCTTGTGAGTTATTTGCTTATAATAAAATACATGAAAAGGAATTGGTAAATGGTGCCAATTGTAATAAATTATATAAACATAATTCTTCACAACTAAAAATTGACTGGCAGGTGTTCCGTGGGCATTTTGGATTTTTGCAAACTTTGTGTCTATACTGGGTGCCTTTCCTCTAAGCACTAGGTCCTCTTCCACAGCTACAGAACCTCTGCTACCATCGACTGTGTGTTTTCAGAGATAGGTAGGCAACATTTTTTAAAAGTAGAATTCTTCTATTGAGGGAACATTTCTCAGAAAAGTGGTGTTCTCCTTCACCAGATATTAAAAATATAACAGTTTCATGTCAAAATCCTAATGGGAACTCAACCTGAAACTACCTGAGCCTTGGAGTTTTTACCTAAAACTCCATTACTTTTTGGTAATGCAGACAGGAGTTTCTGAACATTCATGCTCAACCTTACAACTTCTTCTGTAGCAGAGAAGTGCATACTTCTTTCCCAGGTTCTATTCCAAGCCAGGGGATAGGCTTTGCTAGAGGCTATGAGTTAGAGTGAAACCAGAGTCCACAGAGAGCAATCTCTATTTGACGTCTCCTGTAGACACATCAGAATAAATACATGTATAGCCATCATCGAGTATATAAGAAGTATACCTTAATGTTTGTTTGGTTAGATTGGCTTTCTCATGTACCAGGGTAAGGAGTTCTCATGGAGATATTATATCACTCATTAATTCTCAGTTTTCTAAAATTAAGTTCAAGTATATTTCCTGCCCAAATATGGATGAGCTGGCCTGTCTTACAATAGATCAACTAGAAAATTTATTTCTCCCCTAAAAAAAGGCAATTCATTACTGACAAAGCATGAATGTCAAGAAACTATTTTTACTTCAGTTTAAAAGGACTTAAAGACCTGATCCATTGTTACAGAAGTTTGGGGACATAGCCAAGAACAGAAGTTATGCCAAGCACATGAAAAAAAAAGTTGTAAATGTACTGAACTCAGTGAGTATTAAATAAAAGAGAAACAAATAATTTCAAATTGCAGAATTTCAGCAAATGAAAATTTCCTACTTAAAAAAAAAAGGTATTAGCAGCTAAAGAAGGTGCACATTTCAAATCTTAGATGGTCCAAGTTTAAATGACTTCTCAATACTGTTTTCAGTTTCTCTCTAAAGAAGATATATAATGTAGGCACAAATATTTTATTGTCCCTTGACTTTTATCCATTGAAAATTATATTATGTATCCTAGTCTTGCTAAAAAGTACTATCAAAAATTGAAAGAAAACTTGATTACAAATGAATGGATAGATAATTTATAAGTTTACTTTCGGCTCTGAAAGTTAGAAAGTCTCTGAAACAAAGTGGAAACAATGAAAAATGAGTAATAAGGTTCTGGCAAAGAGCTTGATTTTAAGTCAGCATCTAACTTGTAACTGAAATGTAATACTGAGCAATCATGAAGGATAATCCATCAAATAAAGATTGACTTGCTGTTCTGTGTTCAAAAAATAGATGAAACAAACACTTATTCAGTTCCAGAAAACCATAAGTTTTATGGATAAAATTTTTTTCAAAGAAAAGTAATCAATTCACCTCTCATGGCCAAAACAAGACTCCTAGTGATTGTAAATCATCCTCATTTAATAATGAAGAGAAAGGCTGTTACGTTTAAATACTCAAGGATGGTATAAGGAAAAAAGCATGCATTAAGTTTTTTCTTTAATTTGTATAAATCTATGGGGGTACAACTGTAATTTTATTACATGGATATATTGTGTAGTGGTGAAGTCACGGCTTTCAGAGTATCCATCAGTGGAATAATGTATATTATACCTATTAAGGAATTTCCCATCATTCACTCCCTCCCATTCCCCCCACCTTTCTGAGTCTCCATTGTCTGTCATTCTAAATTCTATTAGGTTGGTGCAAACGTATTTGTCATTACAAAAACTGCAGTTACTTTTGCACCAACCAAATATGTCCATGTGTACACATTATTTAACTCCCACTTGTGAGAACATGCAGTATTTGTCTTTCTGTGTCTGACTCATTTTATTTAAAATAATGGCTTCCAATTCCACTCATGTATCTGCAAAAGACAAGATTTTATTCTTTTCCATGGCTGAAAAGCATTCTGTTGTCTATATACACTCTATTTTCTTTATCCAGTTATCCATTGATGGACACTTACATTGATTCCGTATCTTTGTTGTTGTGAATCGTGTGATAAACATCCAAATGTAGGTGTCTTTTTAAATATAATAATTCATTTTCCTTTGCATAGATACCCAGGGGAGGGTTTGTTGGATCAATGGTAGGTCTATGGCCATAGCACAGTGTGCCTGATCTCATGTGATAAGTTATTTAATGTGTATTGAACTTCTGGGAAGAAAGAATCTATATTAAAATAAACTATAATACTTGCATTATACTCCTAGCTAAAACATAGGGACATTCAGGTATATAAAAGAGATATTATATTTAGATAGTTGGGTTTTTGATATGAAATTTGACTGGACCAGTGGCACAAGGGACATTTTTAAAACTCCTCCACTATGAGTTAAAGGGTTTAAAAAAATAGTTGAAATGGGACAGATTTTCAGGTTTAGCCTATTTTAGGTTAGATTAATTTGCTCTGTTCATCAACAGTTTTTAGGGTCTGATCTCAAAAGGATTTGAGATGATTGTATGAAAATCCTGACCTATGAAATAATTACATGGGCAATGCAAGCAGTTCAAAAGTTTAACATTACACAGAAATATTTAACAAAACCTTATAGAAAGATTAGGAACACGTCTTTTTGTGTTAATCAGAAAAAGAATTGTCTTTACTTTTGTTTCTATGGGGCTGAGCTCTGTTTTGATTCTTGTAAATTTTTTCACTTATAGTCAGGCATAGTTGTCTGAGTATAAACTCTTCAACTAGAATGTAGTTCACAGAGCAGGGACTTCTGTGTCTTGTTGACTGCTCTGTTCCTAGTCTAGAACATTGCACACAGTAGGAGCTCATTCAGTGTTTTCTGAAACACGTTGAAAGCATGGTATCATTTGCAAAATATTGAGGATGTAGAAAATAAAAGGTCAGTGTATATCACTCCATAAATATTTGTGAGAGCCTATTTATGCAAAAGTTGTGTTTTGGTACAAAGCCTGATGGATCCATCAGGCAAGATAAACATTATTCAGGCAATAAATACAAGCTGGAAAGGAAATGTAGTTGGATGATTTGAGAGCATAGACCTATGTTGGAGGAGGGATGAGGGCAACTTTCTGTTAAGTCTTCCCTGAGCTGACTTTTAAACCAAGCCATGAAGGGTAAAAGAGTTCACTTAACAGGGATGATGCGGTGGTGGCAGGGGAGGAGTTTGGATTGGAGTTGAGGCATGTATGCAACAAAGCCCTGTGGCAGGAGGAAATACAGTGCCTTTGAGAAACTGAATGAAAATTTGTGAAGCTGGAGAACAGACCTAAACAGTCAGGAAAGCATTGAAATTTGATGGAGAATAGTGCAGGGGCCATATCATTTGATCTTTATCTCACTGGCAATGGAAAGACTGGAGATATTTTATGTTTATGTAATGCCTTTAAAGTATGTGCAGGTGTGAGGGAACAATGCAATGGGCATGCTATTAAAGTGGAATCTAAAAACTAGAGACATGCATTACTTGGTAATAGAGAGTTCAATTTTTATATACATACATACATATATATATGTAGACTAACATATATATATATATATATATATATATATATATATATAGAGAGAGAGAGAGAGAGAGAGAGAGAGAGAGTAATCTTCCCTTTGTGAAATTCCATGGGTAATAATAATAGCTACTAATTAAAATTCCCAGGCTCTGTTCTAATTATTTACATATGTCAACTAATTTAAACCTCATATCCTCCAAATAAGAAATGGATTATTATCATCCCTATTTTAGAGATAACTGAGGTACTGCAGGGTTAAATAACTTTTCAAGGTAGCAGAGCTTATAACTGGCAGAGCTGCTCAGTTCCAGAGTCAGTGCTCTGAGACACTGATTTTTTTTTCTTGTTGTTAATGTAAAAGTTATTTACATTTATGAAGACCATATTATAAATTTAGCAAGATTTGTTGTTCATAATTTACTTTAGAATTGGAAGTAGATGTTCTTTTATTCACAGGCAGTAATACTACCTATGCCATGATATTTGAATAACAAGGCAATAAAAGAAAACGACAACAAAAAAATCCCCTAATAGTCTAGAATGTTATAAAATTTAATATTTTTCTATGTAAAAATTACTATTGAAGAATAGTTTCTTCTATGCTAAAATATGTTTTTATTTTTAATGCTGTGCTTTCTGTTCTCTTCTGTACTTACAGATATTGTGATTATTTAAAACAATTAGAACAAGAATAAAATTCAATAATTAGGTATATTTTAACAGATTAAGGCTACTTAAGAAAGTGTCTCTAGGATAGCCTGCCCCTCATTTCTTTTCTTTTCTGAATTCTTAGACTTATCTTCTAGTGTTAGAGTTAGAAGTCCCTCTACTTATACATGTATTAAAGTATACTTTAGAGAGCATGAATAGGTCCATTTTAGAGTTGAGATTAATTACCATGTATATCAGACAGTAACATGTAGGATTTTTCTAAAGGTAGTTGTTAAAAGCAGCATATATAATGTTTCAAAAATTAAAAAAAAACACAGTATTTTAAAACACAGTATACCTCAGGGAATAAGTCACTCAACTATATAAGTAGATAGGAAAATATCCTTACACAAACTTCCTTAAGAGTTAAGCCAATGCATAGGCAGTGGGAGAACAGCCAGTAAAGAGGGAGAAACTAAATATAAAAAATACAGGATGATGGGTACAGTGCCTGAGAGGAGGTTAAAGGAGATAAAAGTAAGTATATTTTTTGAGAACAAAATAGTAACAATAGTGCTGATAATGCTGTCATTATTTATATTTTGCACACTGTGTGTCCAGCTCTGTATTATATTTATTAATGCATCCAACCCTTACTACTGCCCTATGAAGTAGAGGCTATAATTACATTATCCCTGTTATATTAACAGTAATCTAGAGCACAAAGAAGTTAAGTAAATTTCCCAATGTCACACAGGTGAAGAGTGACAGAAGGAAATTTAATCCCAGACAGCATGGCTCAAGAGTCGTTATTTTATCTGTGATGATAAATAGCATCTGGTACGTATAGAAAAGTGAAGTCCTTGTTAATCATTTTTACCATCTCCCCAGCACCAACCACAGAGCCCAGTACACAAAAGAGAAAGGGTGGACAGAAGGAAGGGGAGGGATGAATAGTGACAGATCTATTTACATTATTTGCAGGACTCAGCCCAAAATGATAAATTTAAGCTCCTTGATAAAAATGTTAAGACTTTAAAAATGGTGACAGCAGAGCATTAAACCAAGTGCAAGGCCCTTGAAAGTATGGGGGCCCTGTGTGATTTCACAGGTCATATGCCCACATATCTGGGCCTGGGGTGCTGCCTTAGCCTTGAAAAATGAGGCACAGTAATTTCTTTTCCTAGTAAAAGGTTTCAGTGGATTGTATGATGTTCTCAGTTATTTACTGCCTCCTATCATGTGACTTCACAATGTATGAAAGTGAGAGTTTCTATTTCCCCATCCCAGTGATGTTGAGTTTTGTTACAAGGCTTATTTAACCAAAGGGTGTAAGTGACAGCATGTTAGTTCCTAGTTAAAGTCCCAAGGCAGTACTAGCTTCAATTTCCACCCTTTTGGTCCATCATTAGAAAAGCACACTCTGATAGCAAAAGGAAGGAAGAGAGGGAGGGAGACAGAGAGGGAGGCAGCTTCTCTTTCTGCTATAGATTGTTTGGGCTTGACCTCAGGCTACAACTTGAGTTTATAGCTGCTTTATGCATTTTTATCTTACAAGGAATGGTCCTCTCATGGCAGATGGCAGAAGTGCAGGAAGTCCACCAAGTCGCATAAGCGCATTTTAAGATCCCTGCTCATATCACACCTGTTTGCATTCTATTGGCCAAAGCAAGTTAGAGGGACAGCCAAATTTAGTCAGGAGTGTGCTTCCTAAAGGATGGTCTCCTTAGTCCTTCTTATATTCCCAAGGATTAGTATAATTTCCAGTGGTGGTTGGTTATGGAGATTCTAGCCTAATTAGTATTAGTAAAGAGTATTAGTATTAGTAAAGAGAATATGAAAAATTTAAAATAGCATAAATCTAAAGTTTACATTTTAGGTGTATTTTTATGCCCAATTATTTGATCACTATGCATATTTATCTATGTGTATAGGTCAGTATTTAATAATAGTCATGAAAATTCGGAGAAACACAGAAGCGTGTCTTAAATAGAAAAGAAGATGCACATTCTTCTATAGTTGCATGACTGATAACCTCGGATTTTATTATGGTACAATAAAGGACAACCTCATAGCTTTTGCATAGTGTTGCATATGATTATGATTTCTTATTCAACATGAAATTGAAGATTATAGTTCTTCAGTAAAAATGAAATATTCACACCATTATAGAAGAAATCACTTTTCTCATTATGATTCATCATTTATCATGATGAAAAAGTTACAGGAAATATTGAAGGTCAGCCTAATATAGTCATTTAGTCATAAATTTATAGTAATATAAAATAAACCCTATATGGTGCCAGAAAAGGATTTTTTATTCTTTGTTATATCTGAATCATATTCTATGTATATGTGCTCTAGAGCCATGCTCTGGGTATGATTTTTTTAAATCTAGTTTCAGAACCAGTCCCCTGAAGATATACATGTATATAGTAATTAATTTTAGTCATACTAGGATGACTACAATTTTTATTATTAGTTACCTATACTCTCTAATTTGAGGATGTAACTACCATTTGTAACAGAGTACAGGAAATTTCTAGCTCAGTAGTCTCCCCACTCCCTCTCTTCACGCTTTCCATTTTGGGACAGTTTTCATTAGCTTTTTACCAAAAGCAGATCAACGTGTACCTAGATACAGCAAGTTCTTAAGATACAACAGATAAAGAGGGCCACCTCAAGATTTGGCTTTGTACCTTTCTACAAATTCTAACAATTCAATTCCTTTAAGGAGACAAAGTTCTGAGGGTGCAGAGCTTGGTTATCAGAGGACTTTTCAATGAATTTGGAAAAGGCACCTCTTCAAATTTTATATACAGACTTGGAACAGTGTTCAGGATGTGTTGGTGGAGCACAGGCTGGAATTTGATCCCCACTTAGTTGCTTGGCCTGGTGTACTCTTGTGCAGTGAACAACTTGTGCAACTCTATAACATCCATATAGTTAAAAGAACTGCCAGACTAGGCAAGAATTAGAATAGATTTTCAGTTTTACTACCTACTAGATAAGTGACTTTAAGCAAGTTCCTTTAACTTTCAAAGCTTTTTCCTTTTTTAAAAATTTGTCTCAGAGTTGTGAGATAAGATCTCACTTTAAGGAAGAACAGAGGAGATATATCCTTGGCATCACATTTTGAAACTCTATTTAATTATCTAAGATAAATAAACTTACCAGAAATTGTTATTTTATAGTGATATTTAGCATTCTCTCAATTATTACTGTAGATTAAATATGTCTTAGTTAAAGACACCACCATTCACCTTGTGGACAATGCCTGAATTCATTATGGATTACCTTCTTCAACCTCTTTCTCCTCCCAGTCATAGTTATTAAATACTGATGCCCTTTCCTAAACAATCTCTAATATTTTACTGTTTTTCCATCAACACTCTCACTGTCTTGGTCCAGAATCCCGTGATTTCTTCCCTGAATTATTGTAATTACTTCCCACTAATCCTGACTCATGTTTCAGCCTCCTCTAATCCATTCTCCATACTGTCTCAATAATTATCTTTACACTGCAGATATCCCCTCGACTTGAAATCTTTCAGTTACAGACCATAACTCACAAGAAGTAACCTAAGTCATAAGTATCTTGCAAGGCTTCTCATGACCTGATCCACATTTACCTTTGCAGTCTCACCTTCCACCCACCCTGTTCTTCAACTACATGTAGACTTGAATACACGCAGGTCTTTATACTTGTCATTGAACATGCTAGTTCCACTGTCATGAATGCTTTACTCACCTTCTATGTTCTCTTACCCATTCATTGTATATCAAGAGCCAGTTCAAATATGCCCTCTGCTATGCTCTGAATGTGTCCTCCTAAAATTCATGCATTGAAATTTAATCACCAATGTGATAGTATTAAGAGGTGGGACATATAGGAAGTGACTTAGTCATGATGGCAAAGCCCTCATAAATGTATTTAAAGATCTTGTGAAAGAGGTGTGAGGGAACTGTTTATCCCTTTTGCTTTTCCACCTTCCTCCATCTGAGGAAACAGTAAGTAGTGCTATCTTTGCAGAAGAGAGTGAGTCTTCACAAGACACTGAATATGCTGACATCTTGATCTTGGACTTCCCAGCCCCCAGAACTGTGACAAAAAAATTTCTGTTCTTTATAAACTACCCAGTCTTAGACGTTAATTATAGCAGCATAAACAGACTGAGACATCCTCCTCTAAGATATCTTCCATAACCCCTCTACCTTTTCTTCACTTCCTTCCCAAGGAATATACTTGTATTGTTTATAAAAATTAATGCCATTTGTATTTTAATTATTTATTTCACAAGCTGGGTTCTCCATTTGCTTATTCATACTTTGAGTTAGAGAATTGGGACGTAGTTTTCTTTATATCCTCAGATTCTTATTTAAGGCATGACTTAAAGTAGTTGCTTCACAAATGTTTTTGAATGAATAGTGCTACTCAACACATTCAGTGCCTAGGTTAGGGCTTGCCTTCCGATACAAATATATAACAAAATAAAAGGAGCAATAACCCTGGGGATAAAAATGGAGGATATGGTAATGCTGGTAAAAGGAGAATGAACAGAAGAAAGGAGATTCTAGTGATAAGAGAGCAGGAAGAGGAATATGTCTGGAAAGCAGGGACAAATTAAAGGGACAGCATGGCTATAAAGCCCTTGTGTCAGAAGATGAAGGGGAAAACTTGTAACAGTTTGAAAAATTGTTAAGGCAGACAAAGAAATATTGAATAGACAAGAAATTTCAGACTAAACCTCTTGAACATATGGTGGTTCAGCCGGGGGAAGGTATAAACAAAATCACAAACCAAAGACATAAGATTAAAAGTGACTTCAGGAATAAGTAATGAGAAGTCATCACTGTGTAAATTAAGACCAGTAATGAAAACATATGTAAAGCGTTTAGTGAAATATGTTAGCACTACAGGCAATTTGGAATTATAAGGAAAATGGGATTCTTTTAAAAAAAATAATATCTGTCTTCTAATTACAATTGCATAATTACTAACAAAATGGAATAAGAAAATAGTAAAGGATTTAAGAGACCTCTGACCCAAATTTAGTTTAAAATTTTATAGCACAAAACAGCACATGAACTAAATGCTCATCAATGTTTATTTAGAAAGTTTTTTTAAAAAATAGTATTTACTGAAAGATAATTTAAAAGAAGATATGACTTTAGGAAGATAGAAGAAAATAATATTTGAGGCAAAAGATGAAGAAAAAAATGTGACTTTGAGGGCATCATTAAAAGTTAATGGTATCTTTTGATGATGATACTTTAAGCTCAAATGAATGCAGAAACCAGGTTTGTTTTTATTGTTTTTGCCTAGCACATAAAATACTTTCAATAAATATCTAACAAAGTCATCAATAGGTATGTATCTCTGAAAGGGAGAATAAGAAATGGAAAGCCAAACACTGAAAAGTCACAATGAATCAAGGCAAATTGACAAAAAATTCTATATGGGGATGATTTGATTGAGTTTAAAATGAAGAATAATTTGATTTCTTGAATTTTAAGACAAACTTTTCATTTTTTCAGTTGCAGTATTTGAAGAATAAAATATTGCATCTCTTCTGGCCAGGCGCGGTGGCTCATGCCTGTAATCCCACCACTTTGGGGGGCCGAGGTGGGTGGATCACCTGAGGTCAGGAGTCTGAGACCAGCCTGCCCAACATGGTGAAACTCTGTCTCTACTAAAAATACAAAAAAATTAGGCGCGTGTGGTGGTGGGTGCCTGTAATCTCAGCTACGCAGGAGGCTAAGGCTCCCGCTTGAACCCGGGAGGCAGAGGTTGCAGTGAGCCGAGATAGCACCACTGCACTCCCACCTGAGTGACAAGAGCAAAATTCCATCTCAAAAAAAAAAAAAAAATCAACTCTTCCACATGGCCCCTGTGTAAGGGCATCGTTCTTACATACAAAGATTCTAGATCAATGAAATTCATTGGCTACTGGTACCTACTTTTGACCTTCTGGACAGGAAGACATATTTTGTACAATTATTGCACTTTTTAAATCATGGCCCTTGCTCTACTTCCCTAATCACCTAAAATGTTACACCCTTCATATCTTTGATTTTTCTCTATTCTGTCAGGCAGCACTAAAATTCTTCCAAATGTGAACTTTGAATATAATAAATTACTTATTTTTATTGATTATATGCTTTAGGAGAAAGTTTGACTCAATTATTTCACCTATTAAGTATGCTATAGTAGGAAATAGAACGTACTCATATAATATTTATGGATATTATTATTCTACTTGATTATTAATTTACTTTAAGGCCTTTTAGTCTAATTAATGAAAAGTGTATGCTTCCAAAATTTAAAAAATGAAAAACAAACTTTAGCATGAGATAATTTTATGCTCTAAAAATATACCTCGTCTCCTGTTATTTATTACTTTTGACATAGAAATTTATCTTTCACTTCCAAGTAACTCTTCCATTATGTTTGTGCTTTTGATCTTGTTAATTTGTTGTTTGTTCAGAAAACCAGGACTAATGACTTTATCATTTTGAATACTTCAGTTTCCCAGAACTATTTTTTAAGAATATTTTTCAGTGAAATGTTAAGAACCTTTCTTTTGTTACTCCCTAGGAAGCTCTGCTTCTTATTTGTATTATTTAATTTATTATTATCTCATTTGTTATATACAAAGTTCAATGTTCTTATGCAAATACTGTTTTACTTAGTGAAATTCGTATGTTCATAATTATTTCACTATTCAATTTTTGTGGTTTATAAATGTATGTAATTATTAATCTTCAAATGTCTCTATAGAAACAGTATTTAGTAGTCCGACTCTAAAAATTATACTTATCTTTTAGTTCTTTATGAAAGGGTGGGCATTTAAGAGTTTTGCACAAGTTTTCTCTTATTTTATCTATCTAGCTGTGTTATTAGCTTATCCATTTGAAATTAAACAAATAGAATGTGTTAGTGCACATTTTTGTTATTTGAGATCATGATTAGTTTTTCATTTAAATCAGTTTTTATTCTGGAATTTTTCCCCTGTCAAAAACTACTAATGTCTCTCAATCTCAATTTCAAAAGGTGGATTATTTGATTTTCAAGTGGGGACCTATTATGATATTAAACAAATGAAATACATTCATTGCTTTTTTTCTTTAATTATAGTTCCAGCTCTTTGTGATCAGCCATATTGTTTGCACCTTAAATATAAGACACTGATTTGCTAATTCACAGCCAGAAGTAAGAAGAAGTACCAAACCACACAACCATAATGTCAGCAGGAGTTTGGCTGCCAGCATAATGACAAATACTAGTAATGCTAATACAACCAGACTTGCCCTGGGCCCTCCTTTTGCAAGACCCTATGTCTCTACTAGTTAAGATCCTGACATGTCTTCTGCATACCTGAAAAGAAGGGAGATTCTTTTAAGTTCCTTAAAGAAAACAGTTACTTGAGTTCATGAAATCTTGCACTGAAAACAATCCTATAATTAGAACGTTATCTTGAAGCCTCTGAAATTGTTTTCAACTGAGTTAGGAAAATCAACCATCGCAGTATTCAGTTCCAATTATCCACCTCCTCAACTTTTTTTGGAGACAGATTTTCACTCTGTTGCCCAGGCTGGAGTGCAGTGGCACTATCATAGCTCACTATGGTTTCCAACCCCCGCGCTCAAGTGATCCTTCTGCCTCAGCCTGCTGAATAGATGTGACTACAAGCATGTGCCACCATGCCTGGCTAATTTTTTGTTTTATTTTTTGTAAAGAGGGGTCTAATTATATTGCCCAGGCTGGTCTCAAACTTCTAGCCTCAAGCGATCCTCCCACCTTGGACTCTCAAAGGGTTGTGATTATAGGCATGAGCCACCATGCCTGACCCACTTTATTTTCCTAGAATGAGTCTGATGTTAGATTTCAGACTGATCTTCCATCAGTCAGAAAATAATCCTTTCATAGATTGGCTGGAGAAGCTTACAGTGTGTTTTCTAACGGGATGAATGTATCCTGCCTCACAACATAATTGCCAATTTGCCCCTAACTCTAGGCACGAATAATTCAGTAGTTCCTTGGGACCATATAATGCATTTACTTCTTTTTTCATGAAGCATTGATTGAGATTATGTTGGTTTTGTTCTGAATATGTACATGAAGTGTTAAAAAGAACATAAATGAATAGGCTCTGTACTAAAGTTGATCCCAGTATTAAATTTAAAAATAGTATACAGAGAAACATTTAAATATTCATATAAAATATATTTTGAAGGTAAATCTCAGTGTATTAGTTCATCTCACGCTGCTGTGAAGAAATACCCGAGACTGGGTAATTTATAAAGGAAAGAGGTTTAATTGACTCGCAGTTCCACAGGGCTGGGGAGGCCTCAGGAAAATTACAGTCATGATGGAAGGGAAAGCAAACATGTCCTTTTACACATTGCAGCAGGAATGAGAAGTGCAGAGCAAAGGCAGGGCAAAGCCCCTTATAAAACCATCAGATCTTGTGAGAACTCACTATCATGAGAAAAGCATGAGGGTAATGTCCCCCATGATTCAATTACCTCCCACCAGGTCCCTCCCACAACATATGGGGATTATGGGAACTACAGTTCAAGATGAAATTCGGGTGGAACACAGCCAAACCATATCAGTCCATCCCTGGGCCCCTCCCAAATCTCATGTCTTCACATTTCAAAACACAATCATGCCTTCCCAACAGTCTCCCAAAGTCTTAACTTATTCCATCATTAACTCAAAAGTCCATGTCCGAAGTCTCAGCTGAGATAAGGCAAGTCCCTTCCACCTATGAGCCTGTAAAATCAAAAGCAAGTTAATTATTTCCTATATACAATGGGGGCACAGGCATTTGGTAAATACGCCCATTTCAAATAGGAGAAATTGGCCAAAACATAGGGGCTAGGGCCCCATGCAAGTCCAATATCCAATAGGACAGTCATTAAACCTTAAAGTTCCAAAATGATCTTCTTTGACTCCATGTCTCACATCCAGGTCACATTGATGCAAGAGGTAAGGTCTCACGGCCTTGGGCACTCAGTACAGAAATAAAAGGGAATAAACAACAGAGAAGTTGCTGTAAGGGCTGGAGTGCCAACCCTTTCCTAATTTGTTTTTCTGTGCCTCACAATATTCTAGGAGCATAGAACTGACAGTGTTCTCTATTGTATTTAGCTGAAGGCAGCACTGCTTGCTTTCCAGGGTGGTGAGTTTGACTGCAGGCATCCTTGCACCCTGCAGGAGCCTCCTTAGTGACCCTATCTACTTAAAAGATAAGCAGAACTGCAGGCTGGATTATAAATAAAACAAAAACAAATAGGGATTTTATTGATCATTTATCTCCCTACTGTAAATATTAACTATATTTTCTTATAAGTTTGTACCTTCATCAAGGTAATGTTTTTATTGACTCTGCTCAAGCTGAGTATGAGAAACCATCAATTAATAAGGATGACATTTCAAATATTTGTCCTTTTCAGTTATTCCTGCTGGGAATGGACATTACCAACTATATGCATATTCTGAATTTATTTTTTAAAAAGATGTTGAGTATACCTTTGAGATCTATAATTATACTAATTCTTCCATAATAATTGCATGGACTAACTTAACTTCATTTCTGTTTTTATTGTCACCTAAATGAAAGCAGGATGTACTCTTGCACATTTCTGAATCCCAAGCATTACAGAACAGTTTCAGAGCTAAACCTTTTCTCTTTACATTGAAAGGAGAAAGCAACCACTTACCTCAGGAGAAACTGGTAGTTTTTCTAAAAAACAATGTTAGTCTCTGTCTTACTTATTTTTCACATTTATTTGAGATGAATTGGTTATTTGAGGGTTATATTCGAACTTAATAACTATCTATAATATATGTCTCTGGAAAATTACATGCACATTTTCTGAAAAATGACTTCAGATATTTAGATATCTAGATATTTAAATTAGGCATTTGGAAATCAATGTGATGGTAATTTGGTGCTTTCTGAAGTGGAATTTCTCCTGCAAATCTGAGTATCCTGTATAAAAATTACAAATTATATAATATTGGACAGGTTGCCTGATAATTCTTAATCTATTTTTTCTTCTGTGCAAGGAAGATAATAGACCTTTCTTCTTATTTGACAGTATTGTTGTGAATACAATATGTGAAAATGCTTTGGAAAATGTTAATTATTATGTTTATCATCTTGTTCATTATTATTTTAAGAATTATCTTTATCATTATTGTAATAAAAGTGGTAAGTGGCATTTACTTAAAGAAATTGCTAAATAATTTATATAGTAGAACGAAGAAGCAAAATACCAATAGTAACTTATTAATTTTGACATAGCAACGAAATATCAAACACAGTAACAGAGATAAACAGTATACACAACAGGTGGTATATTCAACAGACTAACGTCCAACAAAATTGCATAAATTAATGATGTGGCACAGTGTCATATGATGTAGTCAAATGAGCTATACAACTGTGAGAGTCTTTCATAACAAGCACTGTGTAATAGGAACACATTTATTCTTCATAGCAAGGCATCTAAGGAGCATATATCTTACATGTGTAAAATTAGGAAATACAGTTAAATTGTTTATCTTGAAAAAAATCTCAGTATTACAGAAAAATATCAGCACACATTTAATGGAAACTGTCAAACTTTTACTTTACTTTTCCTGTTTTCCAGTCTTCCTTGTGGTATGGGATATTAATAACATTCAGCTATTAGATTTGGCATTAAGGTTTTCAAACCATGCAATTGCAATAGAAGATGAAAATAGTAGTCATTTTCTTTTTCATGCTTTTCTCCCTCAAAATGAGGAAAAACAAAAAAATAACAATTTTTTGTTCTCAAAGCAGATACACACTTTTGCATTTATTATAAGAAATAAATTTATAAAATGGGGATACTTTGCCTAAAATCATTTAATATGCAGATAATGAAGTTTAAGTGGTGGGAGAGATTCAGGGCTGCTTTTCAGCCTTGGTAAGACTGATGGTTCTGTGGCAAAAAACTGTGGTTCTTTTAGAAGATGAACTTTCTCTGAAGGGTCAAACAGACAGAAGAGTAGAAAGTTCCCAGAGAAAAATTGCAAGCGTTTGTAAAAAGCCTTACAAGTATCTTCTGCTACTTCTTTTCCCAATTGAAATAATCTTACAGATGCAGTGAGAGATAATATGAACCGCTGACAGTTACTTGAATTTTACCTCAGTTAGGGAACTGCACTTCTTTTACTGATGGAATGACACTAGGCATTTTACTTAAGCTAAATTCTGGTGTTCTTTGAACTGAAGAAATTTGCCATTTTTTGCATTGAAGCAGAGGCATGGTAAAGAGATAGCAGAGTGAACTTTGTGTTTCTGTAGAGCCATTTATAATAATATATATAAGGACACCCTAGGCATAGGACCCTTCTATCCATTTCAGAAATACTTGATTCAAGTTTTAGCAATCAAAAGTAACCTAAAGCATTATTGTTAGATGAATTATATCACTGAGTGTGGACATGCAAAGGTTTATTCAGATTGCTCATTCTCTCATGGTAAGAGTTAACATCTTTCTAGAGAATGTTGCAACACAGAGATTCAAGGAAGGCAGGTGGTAGTGACGGGGGGAAGCATTTTGGGTATAACCAACATCTTCATGGCCTAAGTGTTCCCAAAATGTGATGCACATAGATTGATTCCATCTTAAGGCACAACTTTAAGAAACAGTTTCCACATATAGAACATCTAGTTATATAGAATAGGATTGTGGACAAAGGCTCACATATTTAACTGCATATGACATGTTTATTTATGTTTCAGAAAATGTTTATGTTATTCAACTTTTTCTAAAAATCTCATTGGCTCCTTTCTTACTCTAATGAAGCAAAAGAAAATGTAACTTCTAAAGACCATTAATAAGCGCTGCTGAAGTGGTCAATTTAATATTGGAAATAACTTCTCTTTGAGAAGCACTTATTTATTCACTTAACAAAATGATACAGACTACCTTCTGTATGCTGGTAAGACTTCCATGGCCTGTCCCCATATAAAACTGAGATGAATTAGGACTGTTCTCTCAAGGGGCGAAGGAGGAAGAAATGTGGCTTTCTTAGTCTCACCAGTCAATAGCAAGAGGTAAATTAATAAAAAGAAAGTGTCTCCCTGGGATTTCCTAATCATGAGTCATCTTCCCTATGGCATTGGGGCGCTCATTCACACTAACTTGTATGGCTCCAAACGTAAACTTTAATGAAAAGTGGTCTTGGGAAGTTGGTGTCCTAAGTGTGTAACTGATGTAAATACCAAACTTCTCTGTGGGGAAAAAAATAAAATACACAACTTTAATTGTTCTCACAGAAAAAACAAACTCCAAAGAACATTAATTTTAACAAACAAATTAATACTACATGTGTAGAAATAAGACATTATAAAAAGGTTTAAAATGCAGATTAAATTTGTGAAGACTACATAGTAAAATCACTATATACAGATTATAAAATAATTACATTAATCTCTTTGAACAAACCAAAAAAGATGGAGTCAAAAGCATGAAAAAGGCACAAATGACTGTAAAAATTGGCCATTTATATTTGAAAGAGAAGAAAAATGAATTTCTGGCAAGGAAAATCATACCAATCAAATTTTTTTTTAAAAGAATGGTTTCATTAAGCTGAAAAAATGAACAGTAGGAACAATTAAAAAGGCATGGTGAGATTTGAGTCAATAGTTACAAAGTTTTGGTTAGTAAGGATGAATAAAGCATGGGATCTATTGTACCTCATTTTGGCTACAATTAATAATGATGTATTATATACTAGAAATTTGCTAGCAGGGTAGATCTTATGAGTTCTCACTACAAAATAATGGTAACTATATGAGATGATGGATATGTTAATTATCTTGATTGTAGTAATCGTTTCACAATGTATACATATATGAAAGCATCACAATGCACACCTTAAATATTTAACATTTTTGTTTGTTAATTATTTCTCAAAGAGCTAGGGAAAAAGACTTTTGCAGTAGAGGAGGGTACATCTAAAAATTAGATTGTAGCACAGAGAGAAAATGAGATGAAAAAATTTTTAAAAGGTTAAAAACAATGAAAGATAAATACAATTCAACATATATCTAATTGTATTTTCTCAAAGAGAGAATGTAGAAGGTGGTAAGAAAAAAAACAATATTAAAGATAAAAGTAGCTGAAATAGTGTATAGAAATGATGAAAGATTTGAGATACATTGGAAACAAAAGCAAGAAAAACAAGAATCACATTTGGATATAGCACAGTGAAAATACAGAATGCTAGAGACAAAGAGATCTCACAGACAGCCAGAGAGAAAATACAGATGATCAACAATGGAATAAAGATGAGATTTACATCCAACTTTTTTTTTCAAAACTTTTTATTGTGGTAAAATATACATACCATAAAAATTACCATCCTAACCATTTTTAAGTGTAGGGCTTGGTGGTATTAAATAATTTCATACTGTTTGTACAACCATGACCACAATCCATCTATAGAATTATTTTCTTCTTGTATGATGGGAACTGTATCTTTATTAAACAATAATTTTCCCTTCTCCCGTCAGCTCCTTGTAATTATAATTCTACTTTCTGTCTCTATCATTTTTGACTACTCTTAAGTACCTCATGTCTTAACCATTTTATATTGCTATAGCAGAATACCACAGTGTAGGTAATTTATAAAGGAAAAAATGTATTTCTTACAGTTTTGGAAGCTAGGAAGCCCAAGGTTGAGAGGACTTCATCTCGTGAGGACCCTCCTGATGGATCATCCCATGGTGGAAGGTGGAAGAGGAAGAGAGATCAAGAGAGGGCCAAACTGGGTTTTATAACAAGCTTACGCCTACAATAACTAACTCAATTCCATGATAATGACATTAAGAATTTCATGCAGGCAGAGCCCTGGTGACCTGGTAACCTAATCAGCCACTTAAAGGTCCCACTTCTGAAAACTGCTGCATTGGAGGTTAATGCAATTAATATCTCACATGAAATTTGTGGGACACATTCAAACCATAGCATCATCTAAGTGGAATCATACAGTAACCTATTTTTTATGACTAGCTTATTTCACTTAGCAAGATGTTCTCAAAGTTTATCCACATTTTAGCATACATTAGACTTTTCTTCCTTTTTAAGGCTGAATAATATTCCATTGTATTTATACACCACATTTTGATACTCATTCATCCAGTAAGGGACTGTTGTGATGCTTCCTAGTTTTAGCCATTGTGAATAATGCTGCTATGAACATGAATGTACACATATGTCTTTGAGAAACTGCCTTCAATATTTTGGGTACATTCTCAGAAGTGGAATTAACAGATCACATGATAAATCTACTTTAAATTTTTTGAGGAGCCACAATACGATTTTCCACAGTGGCAATACTATGTTATATTCCCACCAACAGTACACAAGGGTTGCAGTTACTCCACATCCTCACCAACATGTATTTTATTTTCTGTTTTTTTTATTATAATCATCCTAATGGTTGTGAGGTGATATCTCATTGAAGTTTTTCTTCACATTTTCCCATGGAGTAGCATTGTTGAGCATTGTTTCATGTGTTTGTTGGCCATTTGTATATCTTCTTTGAAGAAATGTCTACCCAGATCATTTGCTCATTTTAAAAATCAGATTATTAGATTTTTGCTGCTGTTGTTATTGAGATTTAAGAATTCACTATACATTCTGGATGTTAATTCCTTTTAGATATATGATTTATAATTATAGACTCCAATTCTGTGGATAAAATTCTCCGCTGATAGAATCTTTTGATGTACAATTAAAAAAAATCATGTAGTTCATTTTGTCTATTTTTTCTTTTGATGTCTGTGCCTTTCATGTCATGTCCAAGAAATCACTGCCAAATCCAATGTTGTGAAGCTTTTCTACTAAGAGTTGCTCCTTCCTCTTCGATTTTTTGGAAAATAATGGAAAATATTTGTATTAGTTTGTCATTAAACATTTGGTGGAAGTCACCAGTGAAGACACCAGGGATTTTTTTTTTTAATCAGGAGAATTTTGACTCCTGATTAAATCTTCTTACCAATTATAGGTCTATTCAGATTTCTTAATTCTCTGTCATTTAGTGATGACAGTGCTTTTGTTTCAAAAATTCATCCATTTTATCTAAGATATGTAATTTGTCGATGTAGAATTCTTAACTATAGTCTCATAAGCTTTATTATTTCTATAGAATTTGTAGTAATGTCACCACTCTGATTTCTGATTTTAATAATTTGATTTTTCTTTTTTTTCTTAGTTTGTCTAGTTAAAAATTCATTAAACTTCTTGATTTTTTTCATGGAATCAACTTTTTATTAGTTTTCTGTAGTGTTTTTCTATTCTCTATTTTGCTTATTTCTGCTATAACCTTTACTGTTTCCTGCTTTCTTCTAGCTTTGGGTTTAGTTTGATCTTCATTTTCTTGTTCCTTAAGTTGTAAAATCAGGTTGCTGATTGGAGATCTTCTTACTTCTAATATAAGCATTTGAAAGTATGTATTTACTCTTTAGCACTATACTCACTGTGTTCCCCAAATTTTGATGTGTGATTTCGTTTTTATTCATATCTAAGTATTTTTAAATTTCCATTGTGTTTGCTTATTTTATCCATTGGTTGTTTAAAAGTATGTTGTTTAATTTTTACAACTTTTTTGAGAATGTCAGTTTTCCTTCTTGTTATTTATTTTTAACTTCATTCCATTGTGGCTGGAGAAGACAGGTTGTATTATCTCTGTCTTTGTTAATCTATTGAGGCTTGATTTTTGTCTTAGCATATGGTCTATCCTGAAAATGTCCCATGTGGATGTGAGGAGAATGTACATGCTGTTGCTGTTGCTGTTGGGTAGAATGTTCTGTATATGTCTGTTAGATCTTTTTGGTGTATTCTGTTGATTAAGTCCTCTGATTTTTTACTAATATTCTGTCTAGTTGTGCTATCTATTATTCAGTATGGTGTATTGAAGTCTCTATTATTGTAGAACTGTCTATTTTTCCCTTCAAATCTGTCATTTTTTGCTTTATATATTTTGATGGTCTGTTATTTGGTTTGCAAATGTTTATAATTATTATACTTTTTTCCTCTATGAAAACTTATTGATATCTAATGTACTTTTGGCTCTTATGCCCTTTTTTAGTTAAAGTATATTTTATCTGATATTTGTGTATCCACCTCTGCTCTCTTTTGGTTACAATGTGCATGGACTATCTTATTTCATGCTTTTTCTTACAATCTATTTGTGTCTTTGGACTAAAGTGAGCATCTTCTAAGATCTCATTTAGTTGGAACATTTTGTTAAAACCCATTCTTCAAATCCCTGCTTTTTGAGTAGAGGATTCAATCCATTTGCATTTAAAGTGGTTACTGATAAAGAGGGATATATTTCTGTAATTTTTCTGTTTGTTTCCTTTATACCTTATACCTTTTGTCCCATATGTCCTGCATTAATATTTTCTTCTTTGTATAATTGATTTTTTATATTGAAACATTTAATTCCTTTCTCATTTCCTTATGTGTATATTCTATAGCTACTCTCTTTGGTTACTATGGGGACAGCATTTTAATGTCCTAAACTTACAGTACTCTAATTTGTTATACTAGCTTAACTTTGATCAACAAAAGCTGCCTATTTACAGTGTAGTCATCACCACTTTAGTTGTTTATGTCACAAAATTACGTCTTAATATATTGTGTGCCCCAAAACATACACTGATAATTCTTTAAATGCATTACTCTATTAAATTCTGTATAAAACAAACTGCTGAGTTACAAACCAAAGTTACAATAATACTAGCTTTTACATTAATAATTTAAAAAAGTGTATTAATATCTTAAATTATGTGGAAACAAATATTAAAGTTACAAACCATTACTAAAATAATAGATTTTATAGGTCTAGTCCTGATGAGGTCCCTCAGGTTTTGTTGATCTGGATATGTGTCAATTTTTCTTTTAGGTTTGAAGACAGTATTGCAGGATACAGGATTCTTGATTGACATTTTTTTTCTTGTAGCATTTTCAATATATCGCCCACTGCCTTCTGGTCTGTATAGTTTCTGATGAGAAATCTGCTGACAATCTTATTGAGAATCCCTTGTACGTGATGAAATGCTTTTTGCTGCCTTAAAAATTTTCTATTTGCCTTTTTCTTTTCAAAGTTTTATTATAATGTGTTTTGAAATTGTTCTCTTTGAATTCATTGTAATTGAAGTTCATCGACCTTTTGGATGTTTACATTTATGTCTGTTATCAAATTTGAGGAATATTCAGCCATTATTTCTTGAAATGTTATTTCTGCCTTCATCTAGGTCTCTTTTACTTCTAAGATTTCCACAATGTGTAAGTTAATATGCTTGACTCTGTTTCATAGGTTCTGTTCACCTTTCTTAAATTTTTTAAAAATTTTATTCAGACTCACTTATTTACATTGTCTTTTCCTCGACTTTGCTGATTCTTTTATCTGCCTACTTAACTCTGCCATTGGATACTTCTAATGAATTTTTCATTTCTGTTATTGTACTTTTCATTTCTAGAATGTATTTTTGGTTCTTTTTAGATTTCCCATCTCCTTGTTGATATTTCCATTTTTTAAATAAATTATTTTCTTGACTCCATATCTTAAAGATGCCATTTAGGATCTTTGAGGCAGTTGTCTTAGTCTTTGTCTAGTATATCTGCCATTAGATCTTTTTCAGGGTCAATTATTGTTGCTTTTTTCTTTTTTTTTGAGTGGGTCATACTTTTCTGCTTCTTTGAATATCTCGTGAAGTTTGTTGAAACTGGACATTTGAATCTAATTATGTAGTAAATTTGGAAATCACATTTCCCCCCTTTTCAGGGTGTTTTGCTTATTATTATTATTATTATTATATCATTATTATTGTTTAATTTTCATGCTGTCTTTATAACGAGAATTACTTCAAAGTGTAAACTTAAGGTCTTCTCAGGTCTTTTCTGAATCTGTGCCTTTTCCTCAGCATACATGGTCACTTTCTAATTTTCTTCATCTATGAAATTGCTTTTCAATGTCCTGTCCTTCTATGTCTTGCTGCAAAAATGGGAAAAATAGAAAAATGAGAAATGAGGAATGGATGGATGATGTTGTGGTCCTTTAAATATTCTGAAAGTCACTTCGTCTCAAGGGGAATTTATTGGCAACAATGGGGAAAGTGCAACAAAATGGCTGCCCATCATTTTTCTGCACCTCTGTGATCAGAAGCAGCAATCACTGACAGGATCACAGATTCCTAATATTTGGAGGACAGAGTGCTTTGAGGGTACCCTGCTTTCCACAAGCTGTGTGCAAGCTGCTCTTCTAATCCCTGCACATTTTTCCGTCAGAAGGATGAGGGTTGAGAATGAGGAGCTGCTATTGTGCTAAGAGCTGAAATTTACCATCGATGCGTTACCAGAATTTGCAAGCCTTTCATAGACTCAATAGTTCCAAAATAGTTCCATCAAACATTCTGAGAGTGCATTTGTTGTTTAAGTACAGAGACAGTTTCTTCATGCTTCCTACTCCACTATCTCCCCAGAATGCTGCTCTGCATCTAACGTTTTAATGGCAACAATTGAAGATGGAAGACACTAACTTGTGTTTTTCAAGAGCTTAGAGTACTTATATCCTGGAATTATATCCAGGAAAATTGCCCCTCACAAATAAAGACAAATGAAAGATATTTTCAAAATAACAGAAGCTGAGATAATTCAACACCAACAGATATACACCAGGGGTACTCCTAAATTATTTATTTCCAGAAGAAAAAAAATAATGTTAGGAAATTCTGCACAAAGGAATAGTGAACAAATAAAAAGGTAAACATGTAGGAAAATATCACTATGATTTCATTTTATGAATACAATGTAGCTCAAACTTTGAAAATCAGATCACAATATTAACATGTTAAAAAGAAAAAACATATCTAAAATCGTTGCAGAAAATCATCTAATAGCATTAAGTAATTATTTATAAACAAAATTCTCAGCACAAAGTAAAATCAAAGGGAATTCTTTCTTAAATTGATAAAGATTCTCTACCAAAATCTTCAGCAAACCTTACACTCACAAGAAATGTTGCAATTGCATATATAAACTGCCTTAACTTTTCTTCCTTTTAGCATCCCTGGGTGGAAGAAAGCTAGGCCCTTTGTTTGTTTGTTTTAGTCCTATATTTAGTATAAGATGGCTTGGAACCAGAACAGTTGCAGCAGTCTGAAGTGTAGATTGCTTTCCCTTCTTATACTATCTGTATGGAGGAACGGATTTGCTCTGGGGCAGTAAGTATCACACAATGCTCTAACATGGTATAGTATAGAGTTGGAATGCCTAAATTCTAACTTAGCCTCAGATCAGCTATGAGATCTTCATTAAGTGTGCAGGTCTCTAACTGACATGTTTGATCAATGAGGCCTGCTGACCAGATTGTATTTAATGTCCCTTTCCTTGGATGGGCTGGAGCTGGCTGCCATACTTCTCAAACTTGAGCGAATATACAGCTTCCCAGGGCTCCTGGGAAGCCGTTAAAATGTAGATACTGTTTAATTGGATTTAAGGTGCACCCTGACTTTCAGCTTTTCTAACAATCTTTTAGTGATGTCAATGCTGCTGGATCAAATATATTTAAGTAATACATTGTAAATAGCAACGTATTTTTCTAAAGCATCTTTAGAATACTTCTCTCAATCAGTATACTTTATTGAACTTAAAGGAGATCCAACCTACAAGAAAATGACTTGCAGGCAACATTTTTTTTGGGGGAGGGGTGTGCAGTATTCTTTTTTTATTATTATACTTTAAGTTCTGGTGTACATTTGCACAATGTGCAGGTTTGTTACATAGGTATACATGTGCCATGTTGGTTTGCTGCACCCATCAACTCGTCATTTACATTAGGTATTTCTCCTAATGCTTTCCCTCCCCCAGGCACCCACCCCCTGACAGGCCCTGGTGTGTGATGTTCCCCTCCCTGTGTCCATGTGTTTTCATTATTCAACTCCCATTTATGAGTGAAAACATGTGGTGTTTGGTTTTCTCTTCTTGTGTTACTTTGCTGAGAATGATGGTTTCCAGTTTGATCCATGTCCCTGCAAGGGACATGAACTCATCCTTTTTTATGGCTGCATAGTATTCTGTGGCATATATGTACCTCATTTTCTTTATCCAGTCTATCATTGATGGACATTTGAGTTGGTTCCAAGACTTTGCTATTGTGAACAGTGCTGCAGTAAACATATGTGTGCAATGTGTCTTTATAGTAGAATGATTTATAATCCTTGGGTATATACTAAATAATGGGATTGCTGGATCAAATGGTATTTCTAGTTCTAGATCATTTAGGAATCGCCACACTGTCTTCCATAATGGTTGAACTAATTTACACTCCCACCAACAGTGTAAAAGCATTCCTATTTCTTTTTTTTTTTTTTTTTTTTTTTTTTTTTGTTGTTTTTTGTTTTTTGTTTTTTTTTTTTTGAGACGGAGTCTCGTTCTGTCGCCCAGGCGGGAGTGCTGTGGCGCGATCTCCGCTCACTGCAAGCTCCGCCTTCTGGGTTCACGCCATTCTCCTGCCTCAGCCTCCCGAGTAGCTGGGACTACAGGCGCCCGCCACTGCGCCCGGCTAATTTTTTTTTTGTATTTTTAGTAGAGACGGGGTTTCACCGTGGTCTCGATCTCCTGACCTCGTGATCCGCCCGCCTCGGCCTCCCAAAGTGCTGGGATTACAGGCGTGAGCCACCGCGCCCGGCCAAGCATTCCTATTTCTTCACATCCTCTGCAGCATCTGTTGTTTCCTGACTTTTTAATGATCGCCATTCTAGCTGGTGTGAGATAGTATCTCATTGTGGTTTTGATTTGCATTTCTCTAATGACCAGTGATGATGAGCATTTCTTCATATGTCTGTTGGCTGCATAAATGTCTTCTTTTGAGTAGTGTCTGTTCATATCATTTGCTCATTTTTTGATGGGGTTGTTTTCTTCTTGTAAATTTTTTTAAGCTCTTTGTAGATTCTGGATATTAGCCTTTGTCAGATGGATAGATTACAAAAATTTTCTCCCAATCTGTAGGTTGTCTGTTCGCTCTGCTGATAGTTTCTTTTCCTGTGCAGAAGTTCTTTAGTTTAATTAGATCCCATTTGTCTATTTTGGCATTTGTTGCTGTTGCTTTTGGTGTTTTAGTCATGAAGTCTTTGCCCATGCCTATGTCCTGAATGGTATTGACTAGGTTTTCTTCTAGGGTTTTTATGGTTTTAGGTCTTACATTTAAATCTTTAATCCATCTTGAGTTAATTTTTGTATACAGTGTAAGGAAGGGGTCCAGTTTCAGCTTTCTGCATGTGGCTAACCAGTTTTCCCAGCACCAGTTATTAAATAGGGAATCTTTCCTGCATTTCTTGTTTTTGTCAGGTTTGTCAAAGATCAGATGGTTGTAGATGTGTGGTGTTTTTTCTGAGGCCTCTGTTCTGTTCCATTGGTCTATATATCTGTTTTGGTACCAGTACCTTGCTGTTTTGGTTTCTGTAGCCTTGTAGTATAGATTGAAGTCAGGTAGCATGATGCCTCCAGCTTTGTTCTTTTTGCTTAGGATTGTCTTGGCTATACAGGCTCTTTTTTGGTTCCATATGAAATTCAAAGTAGTTTTTTCCAATTCTGTGAGGAAAATTGTGGTAGCTTGATGGGGATAGCATTGAAACTGTAAATTAATTTGGGCAGTATGGCCATTTTCATGATATTGATTCTTCCTATCCATGAGCATGGAATATTCTTCCATTTGTTTGTGTCTTCTTTTATTTCCTTGAGCAGTCATTTTAGTCTCCTTGAAGAGGTCCTTCACATACCTTGTAAGTTGTATTCCTAGGTATTTTATTCTCTTAATAGCAATTGTGAATGGTACTTTACTCATGGTTTGGCTCTCTGTCTGTTATTGCTGTATAGGAATGTCTGTGGTTTTTGCACATTGATTTTTTATCCTGAGACTTTGCTGAGGTTGCTTATTAGCTTAAGGAGATTTTGGGCTGAGACGATGGAGTTTTCTAAATATACAGTCATGTCATCTGCAAACAGAGACAATTTGACTTATTCTTTTCCTAATCAAATACTCTTTATTTCTTTCTCTTGCCTGATTACCCTGAGCAGAACTTCCAAAACTATGTTGAATAGGAGTGGTGAGAGAGGGCATCCTTGTCTTGTGCCAGTTTTCGAAGGGAATGCTTCCAGTTTTTGCCCATTCAGTATGATATTGGCTTTGGGTTTGTCATAAATAGCTCTTTTTATTTTGAGATACTTTCTATCAAAATAGAAAGTATCTGGTCCTGGACTTTTTTTGGTTGGTAGGCTATTAATTATTGCCTCAATTTTAGAACCTGTTATTGGTCTATTCAGAGATTCGACTTCTTCCTAGTTTAGTCTTGGGAGGGTGTATGTGTCGAGGAATTTATCCATTTCTTCTAGATTTTCTAGTTTATTTGCTTACAGGTGTTTATAGTATTCTTTCTGTGGGATCAGTGGTAATATCCCCTTTATCATTTTTTATTTCATCCATTTGATTCTTCTCTCTTTCCTTCTTTATTAGTCTTGCTAGCAGTCTATCTATTTTGTTGATCTTTTCAAAAAATCAGCTCCTGGATTCATTGATTTGTTGAAGGGTTTTTTGTGTCTCTATCTCCTTCAGTTCTGCTCTGATCTTAGTTATTTCTTGTCTTCTGCTAGCTTTTGAATGTGTTTGCTCTTGATTTTCTAGTTCTTTTAATTGTGATTTTAGGGTGTCGATTTTAGATCTTTCCTCCTTTCTCTTGTGGGCATTTAGTGCTATAAATTTCCCTCTACACACTGCTTTAAAGGTGTCCCAGAGATTCTGGTATGTTTTGTCTTTGTTCTCATTGGTTTCAAAGAAAATCTTTATTTCTGCTTGCATTTCATTATTTACGCAATAGTCATTCAGGAGCAGGTTGTTCAGTTTCCATGTAGTTGTGCGGTTTTGAGTGAGTTTCTTAATCCTGAGTTCTAGTTTGATTGTACTGTGGTCTGAGAGACAGTTTGTTGTGATTTCTGCTCTTTTACATTTGGTGAGGAGTGTTTTGTTTCCAATTATGTGGTCAGTTTTAGAATAAGTGTGATGTGGTGCTGAGAAGAGTGTATATTCTGTTGATTTAGGGTGGAGAGTTCTGTAGATGTCTAGTAAGTCCACTTGGTCCAGAGCTGAGTTCAAGCCCTGGATATCCTTGTTAATTTTCTGTCTCGTTGATCTGTCTAATATTGACAGTGGGGTCTTAAAGTCTCCCACTATTATTGTGTGGGAGTCTAAGTCTCTTTGTAGGTCTCTAAGAACTTGCTTTATGAATCTGGGTGCTCCTGTATGGGGTGCATATATATTTAGGATAGTTAGCTCTTCTTGTTGCATTGATCCCTTTACCATTATGTAATGCCCTTCTTTGTCTCTTTTGATCTTTGTTGGTTTAAAGTCTGTTTTATCAGAGACTAGGATTGCAACCCCCGCTTTTTTTGCTTTTCATTTGCTTTGTAGATCTTCCTCCATCCCTTAATTTTGAGCCTATATGTGTCTTTGCATGTGAGATGGGTCTGCTCAATACAGCACACTGATGGGTCTTGACTCTTTATCCAGTTTGCCTGTCTGTATCTTTTAACTGGGGCATTTAGCCCAGTTACATTTAAAGTTAATATTGTTATGTGTGAATTTGATCCTGTCTTTATGATGCTAGCTGGCTATTTTGCCCATTAGTTGATGCAGTTTCTTCATAGTGTCTATGGTTATTACAATTTGGCATGTTTTTGTCGTGGATGGTACTGGTTGTATCTTTTCATGTTTAGTGCTTCCTTCAGGAGCTCTTGTAGGGCAGGCCTGGTGGTGACAACATCTCTCAGCATTTCCTTGTCTGTAAAGCCTTTTATTTCTCCTTCACTTATGAAGCTTAGTTTGGCTGGATATGAAATTCTGGGTTGAAAATTCTTTTCTTTAAGAATGTTGAATATTGGCCCCCACTCTCTTCTGGCATGTAGAGTTTCTGTTGAGAGATCTGCTGTTAGTCTGATGGGCTTCCCTTTGTGGGTAACTTGACCTTTCTCTCTGGCTGCCCTTAGCACTTTTTCCTTCATTTCAACCTGGGTGAATCTGACGATTATGTGTGTTGGGATTGCTCTTCTCGAGGAATGTCTTTGTGGTGTTCTCTGTATTTCCTGAATTTGAATATTGGCCTACCTTGCTAGGTTGGGGAAATTCTTCTGGATAGTATCCTGAAGAGTGTTTTCGGTGCTCTACACATTCAGGGAAACTTCCCTAGTAATGAACCATAGAAATGATCCCTGAAAGTATAGTCTTGCAGGCAACTTTTTAAAAAATATTAATTACATTAAATTCCTTTAATTAGCAATGTATCTGTTCAGTTTCACTGATACGCTAAAATCAATGAGGTGTTAAATCTTTTTTAAAAAAATTTTTAGCATGACTGAAGGTATCATGCTATAATATAAGAAACAACCACTGGATTTGTAAGCCTGAGACCTGGGTGCTAATCTCCTCTACCTCTAATTGGTTATGATTGAAAATTTAGGTTATCTAAATCTGTTTTTTCATCTGAGGAATTAAGAGTTGAATGAGCTACATGATTTCTCTGGATTGCTCTAGTTCTAAACTGATATGATTATAAAACTTTCATAATTATAGGAGCTTTGAGGTAGCTTATAGATGACATTTCAAATCATTTATACATAAGCTAAGCAGCAAAGTGCAGAGTTGAGTCCAGGCAATTATCTCAATCATTGAGAAACATAATGAGTATTTTCAATTGGATCATGGGTATTACATGCCTTAGTTCATAAAATTCACTGGAAATAGATCAATTTGTCTTTTATTTTTGTAGTCATCACTGTAACTTCTGTTAAACTAGAAGGATAATAAAATAAAAAATTGCAAAAGAAAAGCATTCATGTATTGTGAACACTTAGTAGCACACATTATGCTTCCTATTACCCTATTCCTACAACTACCATAAAAATAATAAAATTCAAAAAATATTTATATTTTAAATAGTTTTTGGGCTACTTAATAGGGTTAGCATAATAATTTTCTCAAGATTTCTTTGATTCCTGGGATTTATTCATTAAAAAATTGAATAAGCATACATATTTATTAACTTAGGCATGGAATTTAACGTTTGTTGTCTTGAAGATTTTGTAAGAATTTATAGGCTATAATTCTATTTTGGACAGTTTAGAAAAATTATATTTTAAATATTTCACATAATAGAACAGGGGAGCTATAATGGAAAGGATTAAATTATGACAATTTATCTTCAACGTGTTTTGGAAGGAAGATTGATGTTCTTTCCCGCAAAGGTAAATTGGCCCAATAATTTTAGCATGGTGAAATTTATGAAATCTAGGAAACCTTTTAACTTATATTTCTGTACATCTATATTAATAAAAGATTCTCCATAGCCTAAAATAGACTTTCCTTTGCATGCATTCATTTTATGAAAGTCAAATGCTAAATTAGAAAGGAAAAGGAATAAAGCAAATTGGGCATGAAGATAAAGCAGATGTTTCTGACACTGTAAAGACCTAGCAGAGTGATTCAAAGTCATGATGGGAGAGATTTGTCATTGGAGTTACTACATGCTGTTCCTACCCTCTTCTCCATGATCTGAGCCAAGTCATAGTACGGACTGCCTCCTGATTCCCACTGTGGTTTTGTGTTTCTTCTTCTTTCTTTCTTTTTTTCTTTTTTTGAGATGGAGTCTCACTGTTGTCACCCAGGCTGGATTTCAATGGCACAACCTTGGCTCACTGCAACCTCCGCCTCCCTGGTTCAAGCAATTCTCCTGCCTCAGCCTCCCATGTAGCTGGGATTACAGGCAGGTGCCACCCCACCTGGCTAATTTTTATATTTTTAGTAGAGACGGAGTTTTGCCATGTTGTCCAGGCTGGTCTGAAACTCCTGACTTCAGGTGATCTGCCCATCTTGGCCTCTTAAACTGCTGGGATTACAGGTGTGAGCCACCACACCTGGCTGGTTTTGCATTTCTTTCTCCACTACCGCACTCCACTAAATGGTATCTGCCCTATCTTCTCTATTTATACCTTTAGTATGTGGATCTCTTCTAAGTATACACAATTTGACTGCAAATTCAGAATTACCTGGGAGCTTTAAGAAATACTGGTGCCTGGGGTCCTACCCACAGAGATTCTGATTTAATTGGTCGGAGATGTGGCCTGGGCATTGGGATTTTTAAAAGCTTTCCAGGTGACTGATGTGTAATTGAAGCCCACTGAAATCTACCAGGTAGTCTAATGGCTCTTGGGAGTTACCACCTTACTTAATGCTCGCAATAGTCTTCTAGGTAGATATTATAATCCTTTGTAGAGGAAAAGAAGTGGAATATCAGGAAGACTTAATGACTAGCTTAATACCACTAGTACATGGTAGCTACAGGATTCTATCCATGTTCTCCATTATTGCACGTTTGCTCTTTTCCTTTACTTTAGAATCAGGCTGAGTTTTATGTTCTGTGACCCAGATTCTCAGCAAAGCCATAGTCTCTTTTCTTGCTGTATCAAGCTTTTGTTAAAACAATAGTCTTCATATAAACTTAAAGAAACATTTACTTATGTATGAAATTTTC
The DNA here is from genome assembly GCF_000001405.40 of Homo sapiens. Classification (NCBI taxonomy): domain Eukaryota; kingdom Metazoa; phylum Chordata; class Mammalia; order Primates; family Hominidae; genus Homo; species Homo sapiens. Next base: position 84,313,302 of record NC_000005.10, on the reverse strand, counting down.
TGCAACTATAATAGCAAGATGACTTAGGTTATTTTTCCCCTTAATGTAATGTGGAGCTGCAGTGGTCCATTTGAATTTAAATTGGCATGTTCTGTCTTTTAACCTGACCAGCAGTGCAAAGATCTTTATTTGGTGTTTTCTGTATTTTGTATGGTGACAAGAAATTTGAATCTGCCCTTACTTAATTTTAACTATGCATTTAAATATGTGGATGTATTTTCAATATTGTGGGCCCTGTCACAAAATCCAGACCATTTCTATTAGTAACTTACATAATTTTATGGCAGGACCAGAATGCCACTCAAAACACTTTTCTGAGATTTGTTAAAATTACATTTAAAAATATATTTATTCAATATATTCCAATATTACATTTGATAATCATGTTGAATTATGGATTTCCCACTCTTCATCTTATATGCTAAAATTGTGTTTATATTTAAGTCATTTATTTGATGAGGAAAGAGGCACCCTAACTTAAAAGAAGAGCACTTTGATGGATTATTTTATGTACAGCTGACAAAAATTGTAATTTAATTACAAAAAGGATCCAAAAATGCTAAATAGAAAATACATTGAATAGCCGCCCCGTCTGGGAGGTGAGGGGCGCCTCTGCCTGGCCACCCCTACTTGGAAGTGAGGAGCCCCTCTGCCCGGCCAGCCGCCCCGTCCGGGAAGGAGGTGGGGGGGTCAGCCCCCCGCCCGGCCAGCCGCCCCGTCCGGGAGGGTGGTGGGGGAGTCAGCCCCCCGCCAGGCCAGCCACCCCTGTCCGGGAGGGAGGTGGGGGGGTCAGCCCCCTGCCCGGCCAGCCGCCCTGTCCGGGAGGTGAGGAGCGCCTCTGCCCGGCCGCCCCTACTGGGAAGTGAGGAGCCCCTCTGCCCGGCCAGCCGCCCCGTCCGGGAGGGTGGTGGGGGAGTCAGCCCCCCGCCCGGCCAGCCGCCCCGTCCGGGAGGGAGGTGGGGGGGTCAGCCCCCCACCCGGCCAGCCGCCCCGTCGGGGAGGGAGGTGGGGGGGTCAGCCCCCGCCCGGCCAGCTGCCCCGTCCGGGAGGGAGGTGGGGGGGTCAGCCCCCCACCCGGCCAGCCGCCCCGTCGGGGAGGGAGGTGGGGGGGTCAGCCCCCGCCCGGCCAGCTGCCCGGTCCGGGAGGTGAGGGGCGCCTCTGCCCGGCCGCCCCTACTGGGAAGTGAGGAGCCCCGCTGCCCAGCCACCACCCCGTCTGGGAGGTGTACCCAACAGCTCATTGAGAACGGGCCATGATGACAATGGCGGTTTTGTGGAATAGAAAGTGGGGAAAGGCGGGGAAAGGATTGAGAAATCGGATGGTTGCCATGTCTGTGTAGAAAGAGGTAGACACGGGAGACTTTTCATTTTGTTCTGTACTAAGAAAAATTCTTCTGCCTTGTGATCCTGTTGATGGGTGACCCTACCCCCAACCCTGTGCTCTCTGAAACATGTGCTGTGTCCACTCAGGGTTAAATGGATTAAGGGTGGTGCAAGATGTGCTTTGTTAAACAGATGCTTGACGGCAGCATGCTCGTTAAGAGTCATCACCACTCCCTAATCTCAAGTACCCAGGGACACAAACACTGCGGAAGGCCGCAGGGTCCTCTGCATAGGAAAACCAGAGACCTTTGTTCACTTGTTTATCTGCTGACCATCCCTCCACTATTGTCCTATGACCCTGCCAAATCCCCCTCTGTGAGAAACACCCAAGAATGATCAATAAAAAAAAAATAAAAAAAAAAACTGGACACCCTACTACCCATAACCAGTTTAAGATACAGATTACAACCAACACGTTAAAGCCCTTTTGCATGCCCTTCTCCATCCCAGCCCCCTCCTAAATTTTGTTTATAATGATCTCGCTTTTCTTCATAATTTTACCTCCAAAATATGCATCTGTAAACAATATGCTGTTTTTGCAAGCTTTTGAACATTATATAAAATAAATCATACTGCATGTAAAAAAAAAAAAAAAGAAAAAAAAAAAGAAAATACATTGAATAGTGGGAGGGTACATTGGTACTACCAGTTGGGAAGCTGTGTGTTACCATCTTCTGAAGCTAATATAAGTTAACACACTAACTAACATACATGTAACCTAAAACTAAGCAATTAAAAATAAGTTGCTTATAAAAAATGTCTATAGTGGCATTATTTATATTAAAAAACCGGAAATAACCAAATGACCATCAGCCACAAGAAGAGTAAATAAATTGGCATATTCATCAAGAAAATACAGAAATGAAGGAAAACTACTTCATCCAATGATATTGATGAATCTCATGGACATAATGTTGGGTGGAAAAAAAAAACAGACATGATAGAATACATTCAATTCATGTGAAATCCAGGAGCAGGCAAAAGTGACCTGTGATGATGCTAGCTAGGAAAGTGGTTACCTTCAAGGGTTGATTTTTGACTGGGTAAGCGCACAGGAGAGCTTTGTGGAGTGTGAGAAATGACTTATGTTTTAATCTAGGAGGCTCTAGGGGTACATAGATATGTACACATGGAGCTCCATACGCGTGACTTGTGTACTTTACTGTATGTAAGTTATAACTCAACCAAAGTGAGGTTTGGGTGTGTATATCTATTTTAAAAAATGACCTACAAGGACAGAGGCTCTGGGTGAGCAAGACCTTAGGACACAGCAAATATTTGTATAAGGATAAAGAAAAATTAATTGTGATCTCAGAAGATTTAGAATTAGCGCTCCAGATGGTCATGTCACTCATAGTGCTTAGATGAGAAATTTATTTTTTCAACACTTGCCTGTCATCTAGGGCATACTAGAATTAATTTTTAAGATTACTATTTTTTTCTGTGAATTATTTAAATGACTTAAAAATTGCAGTCTTAACAAAAAGGAAAAGGAACATACTGTTCTTAGAATACATGGTTTTAACATAATGACAGCAGGGCTCGAAACTTAACATTGCCCTAAGGTAACCTCCCCCCACGTGTAAAAATATTTTTATTTTCTCTCACACTTTGGATAAATTACCTTCATTAATCTGAAGATTTCTAATCTGACCTCATTGTCATCATTAGCATTTTATGTAACAGTAACTATTTATTAAATGTTACTTTGAGCTGAAAAGTATTTTCTAAAAGAATGTGTAGATTTCAAGGTTCAGTTATTTTGTCAAGAGAATGACTTTAGAGTATCATTTTAAGATGTGTGGTAGCTTTGTCAGAATTGTTATTAATTTTTCATGAAAATTCTTCTCTCTTAACTGAGGTTTTCTATTTGGTATTTGTAAGGCATCTCTGGAATTGAGGGGAAGCAGTGATAACATGGAGTGAAACTGATGTGGAGAAATAGGAACACTTTCACACTGTTGGTGGGACTGTAAACTAGTTCAACCATTGTGGAAGTCAGTGTGGCAATTCTTCAGGGATCTAGAACTAGAAATACCATTTGACCCAGCCATCCCATTACTGGGTATATACCCAAAGGACTATAAATCATGCTGCTATAAAGACACATGCACACGTGTTTATTGCGGCACTATTCACAATAGCAAAGACTTGGAATCAACCCAAATGTCCAACAATGATCGACTGGATTAAGAAAATGTGGCACATATACACCATGGAATACTATGCAGCCATAAAAAATGATGAGTTCATGTCCTTTGTAGGGACATGGATGAAAGTGGAAATCATCATTCTCAGTAAACTATCGCAAGGACAAAAAACCAAACACCGTATATTCTCGCTCATAGGTGGGAATTGAACAATGAGAACACATGGACACAGGAAGGAGAACATCACACTCTGGGGACTGTTGTGGGGTGGGGGGACGGGGGAAGGGATAGCACTGGGAGATATACCTAATGCTAGATGAAGAGTTAGTGGGTACAGTGCACCAGCATGTCACATGTATACATATGTAACTAACTGGCATATTGTGCACATGTACCCTAAAACTTAAAGTATAATAATAAAAAAAAAGAAAAGAAATCGCCAAAAAAAAAAAAAAACAAAGAAAAAAAAAGAAAGAGGAAAAACATTTATCACTACCAAAGAAAGATAGCATTGTTGGCTTGAGAAACAAACAAAACCCCCAACAATTAATTACAAAAAGAAAAGTTTTATTTCTGTGGAGAAGAGAGGATAAATGGGGAAATTCTGTCATGAGATACTAATCTTCAACATAATTATGCCATAGGAGTTTGAGCTTTAAAGTTAAAAATCGTGTCCTCAATATGTAGCACCAGACTCACAGCTCATGAGAGGAAATGTAAGTACATTATACTGTATTGAGTTCTGTATCTTTATATAAACTTTGAAAAGAAATTCGACAGTATCCTTTAATATATCCTGTAAAAATCTAATCAACTATTTGTCATGGGTCCCAAATGAAGTAACTGAGTGATTGGTGATGGAATTTTCGCCACTTCCGTGATCATAAGGTTGCATTAAATCTCCTAAGGAATCTGTTTGAAAAATATACTGCTGTAAAAAGAAACATATTTAAATTTTAAAAATTACAATCAAATATGTATCAGACCAATTGATCTTTTTATACAAATGATATTATTTAAAAATGTTTTTAGTTTTACACATAACATTATGACTCATCTTGTTCAGATAGATTTTTGTTTTATAAAATTGAATCACAGATTAATAATTTACTGTCTGTTTTATTTTAATATTTCTAAAAATTACTTCCTGAGAAAGAGTACTAAATTTAATTTTGTACATGGCCAAGGAAATAACAATTCTTCCAAATGAAATTGAATTAACTTGAAATACAATAGATAGCATGTACCCATCATATAAAAGCCAATTACAATTAAGATGATCACTATTTTAAACTGCTGTACAGCAGACTAGGAAAATACTTTCTTTGGGTAACTAGACACATTAGGAATATTTATATGTGCATGTCACCTTAAGGTTTACAGTCTTTCCTACAAACAATCACTGCTTCTCTCTTCCAGATTCCAGATACCAGTTAGTATCTGCCTATTTGCATATCCTCCAGGCCATTCACACTCAGCGTTTTCAAAACAAATGCTTTGTAATCTTTCCTCTTTATGCCCAAACTGGATAATTTATTTGTAATAAAGACCAGCAATTAAGAGGACCTGTTAGCCACTAGATCATATCGATTCTACATCTCAGATTTTTCTTAAATTCCTCTTCTCTTCTTTCCTATGTCCACTTCTCTCACACTGAGTTTTGTAGGTGATCCCTTAAATATCTCCCTGCCTTCAACTTGCTTTGTCCTCATTATTTTCTTTATACTGTTGGGCAGAATTATATCTCTAAAATATAGACCCAATCATGATTGCTTCAGATTTTTTACTGAGTAAAAGGACAATGCAGGAATCCTACATTGATCTAGTTCTACATGATCTGGCATCAAGCTACCCTTCTGATTTCAGTTTTTACCCTAGTAACTATTTTCAAACCCAAATTTGCCTCCCCCTCCTTCTAATTCATATTCTTCTCAATTTTTTCATTGCTCTGTGCATTAGAGACCAGACTTTCTTCTGTACTTTATTATGCCCCTTCTTCTCATTTCTCCTCCTGTATTTTTTATATCTCTCTTGTACAGGCTGCAGCTAATTGTGGACTTTCATCAAGTTTGGCCTTGCTCTCTGCTTTTATTTCCTTTAATAACTCCCTCAGAGAGAGTTCGTTTGCTTGAAGAACTTCACCTGCCACCTCTGTGCTTCTGGTATTTCCTTGACCCAATGTATGCAGCCTACAGTTGCTGGCGCAATGTTTCAAATGTAATTTTTGACAAGTTATTTTTCTCTTCCCAGAAACTATACTGATTTTTATTGTTTATTTTTGTAGCAGTTGTCTAGTTTCTTTTTCCTAATTACTGCAGCTTATATAACATTCCTGCAAATGACCTCTCTGTTTCTGTTGGGCCTCTTTATTTTCTTCTATTTTTGTGGAGCATCTTTATTTTCTCTTATTTACATTACCTCAGCACCACACTTCCTCATCCCATGTTGTTAATTTTCTTCACTGTGACTTTTTTATTTGTCTTTGCCTAGAACATCTTCCCCAATTTTCATTAGCCTGCAGTCTTCATTTAACTTAAGATGCGGATTGGATTCACTTATTCCATGAAATCTTCTTTGACTAACCCTACTTCTCTCCTATCACTCACTTTGGAATGACTTATCTTTTATTTTCAGATGTGCACTTGCGTTTCTGTTCATTCTTCAATTGTACCTTCCTAACTAGATCATATATCTTTTGTGATAGTATCATTTATGTCTTTTCTGTCTCTAGCATCTTGTACACAAGAAATGGACACTTGGTAGTTAGTTGATTATACTGGAATAATAAATGAATAATAGTTAAGTTTTATTGAGTACTCACTGTGTATCAAGTATTGTGTGAAGCATTTTACATGAATCACTTTATATAAGGCCCAGTGAGGCAAAATGCTTGTTTAAGGTCACATAGCTGGTGAGTAGTGAAGGTGGGGTTTAAAGCCAGTGCACAAGCATAATCACCAGCTCAGTTTGGAAAGTGTGACTTTCCGTAAGATACAGCTGCTGATTAAATCATCTTAGGAAATGACTTATTCAGGGGGCATGCTTTACAACTCTAAAAGTTTTGGCTATCAATCTTCATATCACAAAATAATAAAACAGAGGCACTGGGACAGAATTGCTTTCACTAGAAATTGATTTGTGTTTGAAACTTGACTCATGATTTAGTACAAACCTGGTAAGCTCTAAAACTTACTGATACCATCTGAACAGTATTGGTCAAGAAACAGTGGTAGTTAATTCGCCTGTAGAATAGAATTCATCCACTTGCCATAATCCCAGATCCCAGGGAAAATTCTATTTAGTTCACAGAAGGTGGGAAAAAATCATCATTATTTATAACAATAATATTTACCAGTATGGTATTATTAATAAAGTGTGTCCTACTTTTAAAAATATATTATGAACATTAAACCTCAATTTGTTCCTTTTTCTAAAATTAACCAAATGTTATGACTTTAAAGGAATACACACCAAATGCATTTTCAGGCTGGTTGCAGCTGTGATTGGTCTCCTCTGTTTCAAGCCAGTGCTTAGTGCTTAGCTTAAGCCAATGACCTTCTTACCTGACAGTTGATTCTAATACTTCTCCACCAACAGTGAAAAAAATATAGCTAGAAGGCCTCATTCATGACTATTCCTAGGTTAATTTCCTGAGTATGCGTTGATGCTTTTACATAAAAAGTTAGAAACCTAGGCAGAATAGAACCCTCATCCCTAAAGGAGAGACTTTTTTTTTTCTCCTTAAGACTGAACAGGAATTTGTTCATTTGTAGATCAGAGAATCTGGGGGGACATGACATGAAAGTAAGGACAATATGCACACAGTGTATTTTATTTATTTATCTATCTATTTATTTATTTATTTATTTATTTATTTATTTATTTACTTTTAAGACCAAGTCTTGCTCTGTCGCTCAGGCTGGAGTGCAATGGCATGATTTTGGATCACTGCAACCTCTGCCTCCTGGGTTCAAGCAATTCTCCTGCCTCAGCCTCCCGAGTAGCTGGGATTACAGGCACGTGCCACCACGCCTGGCTAATTTTTTGTATTTTTAATAGAGACGGGGTTTCACCATGTTGGCCAGGATGGTTTCCGTCTCCTGATCTTGTGAGCCGCGCGTCTTGGCCTCCCAAAATGCCGGGATTACAGGCGTGAGCCACCGCACTCGGCCTGTATCTTAAAGTTAATTTTTAACTGATAAGCAGGAGAACTCACAGCTTGGAATTGTGCAACATAGCACCAAATCAAACTCTGCTGAGAGCTTTAGAGAAAACTTGCTTCGTTTAGCTAGTGGATTACAGCCTATATCTAAAAAGGCTCCTGGGATCAATGACAATAGAACTAACATGAGCCTTTGGGAGTGATTACAAAAAACCTGGTAAGAACTAAATTTTGTGGAACAAATGTTACACATGGTAGGTCCAGAAACTAGTTGCACAGTGGTCCAAAGAAACAGTTTTACCATTTGAGAGGAAAGAGATGGTTAATATATTTGTTCACATATGTATCCATGGAGAAATCAATGGAATTAAAAAAAGTGTTAATAGCATTTAAATGTACCTGTTCTATCACAAAAGGGTGAAATCTGGGTTATTTAATTACTGCTTAAGCCCTGGATTTGTTAATTCTAGATTTATTTTTATCTTTGGCTGCTAGATTTTATTTACCTTCTTATACCGAAGTTGATTTTATTCTGTTAGTTTGCAAAAAATGTTCCAAATCACTCTCTAATGCAGTGGTTTGCCCTCTCAAGAGCCTCACATTTACTTTTAGCTAAATAAATCACATTAAAATAACTATCTTCCTGTCTCTGGGATTATATTGATGAAGATTCTACTTACTTATTTTTATTGAGGGAGATCCTTGCTTTTTATATATTTCCAAAGCATTGCCATCACATATAAAGTGAGGGCTTTAGTTTTATATTTTAAAAAGTGAAAGTTTTCCTCTTGCTCAAGATTTCCTGGCTTGCATCCAATTGTTGTATTTGTCTGCTTAGATTTGTTCACCTTTAAGTAACTTTTTCAAAGGTTTAGTCATAAATATGTAAAACCAATTAATGGATTTTGATTAGGCTTATCCCAAGACAATATGTATCATTCATCAGATCCTTTATATGACATTCAAAACATAATTTCACCTCATATACTTAATTGATCTTTGTAACAATAAGTTCTAAAATTGACCTTCAAACACTCATTCAGGATGCATAGAACTAGAACTTTTTTCTCTAGAATTCTTGTGTCAACTTCATTAAAGCAAGAGAAGTGGAATAGAGGCTGCCTGTTCAAAACTACAAAATGCAAGCTGACATTCACCATTTTGTGGTCCGTCGTGCATGTCAGCTAAATGACAGAAATGCCCTAGATGTTCTGTAACACATTGAGAAAGCTCCATACTCCAGCTCACACAATTTTGGTGCACCCTAGGTGACTTTGAGTTGAAAACCCTAAGCTTGACATTCCTGTCAGTCTATTCACATATACCAAAAAATTTAATCAGACATGTTACATTATGTTAAAACCAGAGATTTTGTTACCAGTTCAGCTTTCACCTAGGAAACACCCCTGTTACTCAATGGTGAAGACAGGATATAGGATGAGCTATATTATTTACTATACCATCTACTTCTGTATCTTCATATATTTACCATTATAGTAAGTAGCTTTCTCAAAAACCATTTAAAGTCACAAACTGTTTAAATAAATTGTGGCTTGTGCACACCAATGAGTATATTACTCTGTAATCATTAAAAATAATATTATAAATTTATATGGATTGATATGGAAAGATTCTCGCAATATATTGTAGAATGGAAAAGTTAGCTGTAAAACGGTATATATAGCATGATCCACTTTAACCCAAATACTTATTCATAGACACATGTGTGGGCATGCATGCACACACACACACACACAAACACACACACACACACACACACACACACACACACACACACAGAGAGAGAGAGAGACATGCTGTTCAAGTTGATGCCTCCGGGAAGTGGAATTAAAGAGCTGGAAGAATAAAAGAGAATTCAAAATGTTGTATATACTGTTCTGTACTGTTAGAAAATTCACTATAATTTTTAACTATTAACTTTTGAAATTAAAAATTATTCAACACAAATGTAAAATATAATAATATAATGACTGTTTTCTATATGCCCACATTGCCTTTAATCTCTAAATTCATTGGGGAGTGCAGACTAGTACGCGTGAAATCAGAATGACTAATCCATGTAAATGACTAATCCATGAATGTAATTCAACTTGTTGGCAGATTAACAATTTGGAAAATGGAAAAGACAAAAAAGTCTACAGTACTATACTTCAAAAGTTGTTATCATGTTTATGCATGGCTAGAATGCAGGTTAGGAAAGCAAGGGGAGGATGAGTAGTGCAGTCAGCTTTGCAGGTGTGGTGGTAGCTCTCGGTTCTCTAGTTCTGCTAGTGTTTTACCCTCAAGTGGGATGTCATGACTGTGAAGCCAGAACATAAGTGACAGAAAGAATACTCCAAATATACTACAGCTATTTCTTAGCTATCACACATAGTAAAGAGAAGTCGGAGTGGAGGGCATTCTGGCCAAACAGCTAAGAAAGAAAGCAGAGAGTAGATAACTGAAACAAAATGGAAAATGACAACTTGGACAAAGGACAAGTGTACAGATCCACTCTCTGAGATTACACAAAGGATAGAACCAATGGCTCAAAGATATGTTCTAGATACAACAAGGAATGAGATCCCAAGTTAGGTGGAATGATTCTCTTTAGAACAGAAGCTACCTATCTCTCTCTGATTTTGATTCAATTAGGAACTTCTGAACTAAATTGTAAGCATCATGAAGACAATGCAAATCACATAGGAAGCAATGAATGAAATATTTTTACTATTTCTGCTAGATGATCTCAGTCTTCTCTATAAATTTTGAGGATTTTCCACATTCTACTTTGATTGAATACTTTAGTTTTTACTATTGTTTCCATGGGCCCCAAATCACCAGCAAGTAAGTCGATGATACTATCTGGAAAGAAAACATTTAATAGAGATAGATAATACAGGAAGTACTTTGGGAAATAACATTTCATGGACATTTTTGGGAAATGAAGAGGATAAACCCATGCCAAACCTTGTAAGGCTATAAGGGTTCCATTTAAAATAAAATAATTGGGGCTGGACGCAGTGGCTTACGCCTGTAATCTCAGCACTTTGCGAGGCCGAGGCAGGCGGATCACGAGGTCAGGAGATCGAGACCATCCTCGCTAACACAGTGAAACCCCGTCTTTACTAAAAATACAAAAAATTAGCTGGGTGTGGTGTCAGGCGCCTGTAGTCCCAGCTACTCGAGAGACTGAGGCAGGAGAATGGCGTGAACCCGGGAGGCAGAGCTTGCAGTGAGCCGAGATTGTGCCACTGCACTCTAGCCTGGGCGACAGAGTGAGACTCTGTCTCAAAATAATAATAATAACAATAAAATAAAATAATTGAGATCGTGAATTTAAAAAAGCATATCTAGTTATGAATGTGCTAATGTAAGCTGCAGAAAAAAAAGCAATAAAACATTAACATGGAGCTGATAAAAGAATAAATTGAAAGCTCCATGATAATACTAATTTTCTCAAGGCATTACCAGTAAGGTTTATAATTGCATTAAATGACTGATTTTTGAGACAGATTTGTATAAGATATACTTTCTATATACGTGTATAGTCAATACTCTTTATAAAGAAAAATATTTTTATCGGTTTTTAACATTATTTTAATGTTGGCCTCTGCAACAATTTAAAGTCAGCACAAGATAGATTTTAAGTTCCTGTGTCCCACAGGACTTTGATAATATGATGAAAACTCTGGAAGTTCTAGTCAGGAAAAAAAATCACGCAAAAATATAAACATCTGAACCTAGGTGAAGAAATACTTAGAATTCCTGTTTCTTTTTCATCTTCCTCTTTTCTATTTACTTTGGACCAGTCAGTTCTAAGGAATTACTGAGATATTCCTTAAAAGGAGAAGCAAAACTCATCACAAACAGAAGTGCTTGAATCTTGTTTTTTAAATTTATTTGATTAATGATTGCTTTCCAAAGTCATGAGTCACAGTGGCCTGCAGCATGATACTGTGCAGCCATAGTTTCATTCTTTACTAAAAGTATGACAGGCTTTTGACAAAATAAAGATAATTGTGATTATATAATAAGATGGAGGCTGACATACTTTAGCAAGAAGGAGCTGACCATTCCATTTCTGTATTTCGCCCATGATAGCAAGCAAATACTAAGGCTTAAAAGAATAAGAATATGCTCCATTACATAGGACTTGATTTAACAGGATTATTTTGAGATTGACAAGTCTAAAATTTGTCCTGTCATAATAACTATCTTTTATAGTACATGCAGTTGAATTCATTTTGCTTCAGGAGTTTGCATTTGACTTTTTTTTTAACTTCTGATTCCATATGATTCTATACATTTCTTTCTTTTTTTTTTTTCTTTTTTTTTTGAGACAGAATTTCGCTCTTGTTGCCCAGGCTGGAGTGCAATGGCATGATATGGGCTCACCGCAACCTCCGCCTCCAGGGTTCAAGCGATTCTCCCGCCTCAGCCTCCCGAGTAGCCGGGATTACAGGCATGAGCCACCACATCAGCTAATTTTGTATTTTTAATAGAGATGGGGTTTCTCCATATTGGTCAGGCTGGTCTTGAACTCTCGACCTCAGGTGATCCACCTGCCTCAGCCACCCAAAATGTTGGGATTACAGGCGTGAGCCACTGCGCCCAGCTGATTCTGTACAATTTTTAAAATATTTTATGAGACGTGTGTGTGTGTGTGTGTGTATGTGTCTGTGTGTGCATGTATATTTGGCTTGGAGTCAGCATACCTAAATTCTAGGTCTAGTTTAGCTTCTACCACTTAATGATGGTATACAAATATTGCAATCTAAGAATTCTGTGATTCTAATCATGTTACATAACCTTGTCTATTTCCTTGTTTATGTATGAAGATACAGTTTACCTAAGAGTGTAGTTTTGAGGCAATTATAAATGGAAGCACTTATATAATTATTATTTATAGTCATTCTTAACTAACAAATATTTCTTAAGGATGAATTTCTGTGCTATTTGTTAGAATATGCATTTCACTTTCTGTATCATCATAGTTGATTACTTATTATAGATGTTTGACTTAGGAAATAAAATAATTTTTCAGAGAATATAACATATCCAGTGTTGTTAAACATTTTTATAGATAAGATTGCAACATGATAGTAGATGTGGTAGGCAGAATAATGGTCTTTTAAAGATGTGCCCATCTTTCCTAATGCAGGGGAACTGCAAATAGTTATTTCCTTTGTCAAAAGACACTTTGCAGGTGTCGTTAAGGCTAAGGGGCCTTGAGATAAGAAGACCATCCTATAGTATCCAGGTGGAACCAACCTAAGCACCTGGGTATTTAAAATCAGAGAACCATTCCCACCTGAATTCAATTCAGAGGAGAGGGGATGTGATTATGGGAGAATAGTCAAAGAGATGCAAGGTTGCTGATGTAAGAGGGCCAAAAGCTAAGAAATGCAGGCAGCCTCTAGAAGATGGAAAGGCAATAAAACACATTCTTCCCCCTAGCCTCCAGAAGGGAATGCAGCCCTGCTGACACTTTGATATTAATCCAGTGAGTACTGTGCCAAACGTCAAGCCTATAGAACTGTAGTAAAATAAATGTTTGTTATTAGCCAGTCAGTTCATGATAATTTGATATGACAGCATTAGAAAACTAATACTTGGGAATGTTGGTAAATTCAGACTAGACATGGTAGATTTTTAAAATATACATATTTTATGTGGTAACACAAGTTTCAAATATGTTATGATACTCAGAATGTTCCACATTTATGGGCTGATAATGATTGCTCTACAGGCAAACAAAAATATTGGTACTTATTAGGTGGCTAACTGATCAGATATGTTCACCTCCTATCCATTCTAAGATCTAACTGAAATAGAGGTTATACATACATATGTACATACATACAAAGGTCATTAAGTACATTAAAACAAAGGCAATTACTAACTCCAAGAAAAATGAAACTTTGTACATATGAAAACTAGATCAAATTGAGACTACTTAGAAAAGGACAAAACAATAATTACAGTCACAAAAATGAAACAATTGAATATAAGTTTATGTTTATGTTGGGACAGTGGGGGATAAATTTAAAAGTTAGAGAAAAGATTTTTCCATTATAGGGGGAAAAAAGGTAATTTAAGGAGGTAGAACTGCTGGAGAAGCTTTAATGACAGTATAAAAGTTTGTAGGGATCTATGAGGAGTGGGGATCTCAGGAAAGAAAGCATTTTCAGAGTTTTATACTTGCATTAATTGGTTACATATATCTTCAAGTAATAATGCATGTTGCTTAAAGAAAATATAAAAAATAATGCTGAGAGTCCTAAAAGAGGGAACACTCCCATTCTGCTCTTTAGGTACTTCCAGTTCCATGCTCCTTCTTTCGATATTAGCCTATATCATTTTTTTAAAAAATGTGTATATACCACTATCTCTTAGCTCAACAACTTTGGTCATTGGATTCCTATTATGTTTAATGGGGATTATACCTGTCCTCGTGGTGTGTTCCAGAGGTAGTCCTCTCTTACCTACACTGCAACCTACTTACAGAATATTCTGTACCAAGTTGTCCTTCACAGTATTTCATTTCTCAGCACCAGGTCTTCAGTTTTAGCTGCGGGTTATGGCTCCCTTCTTTGCTGGAGATTAAAGATGTTAGAGCAGTCAGTAAGCAGCTCGCAAATGAGGCTATGTGAGGTGGCCTAGAGAGGATGTAGTAGAGGATGAAGAAGCAGCCACAGGGCTGATCCTTGATGCGCCCCAACCACAAAAGACCGAATCAGCATTGAATCAGATAAGAGAGGAACCCTGTGGATGGTGGCACCCAAGGGAACAGAGTGTTGTCAAGAATGGAGAAGTCAATTTTGTTCAATTTGAGAGGAGAACAAAGGTGTGACATCGCTTTCACAATAAGGAGATTATATATGATTTTGGCAAGAGCAGTTTCCCTGTAGTAATCTAGCCAGTTGCCACATTTAAGTGGGTGAGAAGGGAGGCTGGTGAGAAGTTTCTTTTTTATTTTATTAAGTTTCAGGGTACATGTGCAGGATTTGCAGGTTTGTTACATAGGTAAACGTGTGCCATGGTGGTTTACTGCACCTATCAACCTATCACCTTGGTATTAAGCCCAGTATGCATTAGCTGTTTTTCCTGATGCTCTCTGCCAAGCCTCTGACAGGCCCCAGTGTGTGTTGTTCCCCTCCCCGTGTCCATGTCTTCTCATTGTCAGCCCCCACTTATAAGTGAGAACATACAGTGTTTAGTTTTCTGTTCCTGTGGTAGTTTGCTGAGGATGACTTCCAGCTTCATCAGTGGCTCTGCAAAAGACATGATCTCATTCCTTTTTATGGCTGCATAGTATGCCATGGTGTGTACGTACCACATTTTCTTTATCCAGTCTATCATTGATGGGCATTTGGGTTGATTCCATGTCTTTGCTATTGTGAATAGTGCTGCAAGGAATACACGCGTGCATGTATCTTTATAATAGAATGATTTATACTCCTTTGGGTATGTACTCAGTAATGGGATTGCTGGTTCAAATGGTGTTGGAAAAAGCTGAGTGTTGGGAGAAGCTGAGGCAGGGCTTGCATGTCTGACATAATGTAAAAGAGTCTTGGAACATGTCTGGGGTCCGGGGTCTAAAACCCCTTGAGGGCTTTGGGAACACCAAGCTCTGTGTTAAAGGGTGGAAGGCTACCCTGATGCACCATAATCTAAGCCCAGGGCATAAAATCTGTAGTGGCTTGGATAGAATCCAGGGCTCGTGGCTCTGGAATGTGTCTAGACTTGCTGGCTCCTTGTTTCTTGCTCTCCCAGGATCGACTGTATCTTGAGTTAAAAGAACCTGCTCTCCATTATCTCAAGTAGCAGAGAAACTGCTAAACCATCACAGCTGTAAATCATGTCCTTAATGCAACAGGCCCTTTTGATTCCCACATTCTCACCACCTGTTTCTTTGTTGGATTACCAATAAATAGCATGGGCTCCCAGAGCTCGGGGGCTTCTCAGCCTCCTCAGCCTCCATAAACTCCCGATGGTCCCCTGGACCCACTTTTCTCTCTCAAACTGACTTTTTCTCATTCCTTTGACTCTGCCGGAATTCGTCACCCCCACGACCTGATGTTGGGTCTGTTCACCCCAAGAAATGGTATTTCTGGTTCTAAATCTTTGAAGAATTGCTGCACTGTTTTCCACAATGGTTGAACTAATTCCCACCAACAGTGTAAAAGCATTCCTATTTCTCTGAAACCTCATCAGCATCTGTTGTTTCTTGAAATTTTTTATAATTGTCATTCTGACTGGCATGAGATCATATATCATTGTGGTTTTGATTTGCATTTCTCTGATGATCAGTGATGTTAAGCTTTTTTCCATGTTTGTTGGTCGCATATATGTCCTCTTTAGAAAAGTGTCTGTTTATGTCCTCTACCCACTTTTTAATGGTGTCTTTTTTTTTTTTTTTTTTTTCGGAGTCTTGCTCTGTCGCCCAGGCTGGAGTGCAGTGGTGTAATCTCGGCTCACTGCAAGCTTTGCCTCCTGGGTTCACACCATTCTCCTGCCTCAGCCTCCTGAGTAGCTGGGACTATTGGCACCCCCTTCCATACCCAGCTAATTTTTTGTATATTTAGTGGAGACGGGGTTTCACCATATTAGCCAGGATGGTCTCGATCTCCTGACCTCGTGATCCGCCCGTCTCAGCCTCCCAAAGTGCTGGGATTGCAGGCGTGAGCCAGCGAACCTGACCTGTTTGGTTTTTTTTCTTAAAAATTTGCTTAAGTTCCTTGTAGATTCTGGATAATAGACCTTTGTCAGATGGGTAGATTGTAAAAATTTTCTCCCATTCTGTAGCTTGTCTGATCACTCTAATGATGGCTTCTTTTGCTCTAAGCAATACCATTCAGGACATAGGCATGGCAGAGATTTTATGATGAAGTTGCCAAAAACAATTGAAACAAATCAAAAATTGACAGATGGGATCTAATTAAACTAAAGAGCTTCTGCACCAGTTTCCTTTAGTTGTACACAAGTTTAGCTTGGTATAAAACATCAACCTGAACTTCTCTTCTGTTTTAAATTTAGGTAGCATAAAGAATAACTTGTATACTAGTTTGATCAGCTTAAAAACATATTTTCTCAAAATGAGTAATAAATATCTTGTGCATTTTAGATGGAAGATTTAGTTAGTTTCATTTTAATTTCCAAATATGTATTTAATATTTGCTGAGTATGTGCCACTCTCCTAGATCCTGTGGGAAATGCAGAATAGAACTGATTTATTCTAGAATATAACTTTTACTTACAAAATCATTAAAATACCTATCTAAAATTGAATGTTGATACAACAGTAATAAGGCACCTACTTAGCAAGTTGAACTTCTCTGCCTGGAGCTCCAAGTACTACATAGAACAGGAAAGAAAGAGGGGTTCCCTGGGGAGAGGAAAGAGGGAAAGACTTTAGTAACTTTTCTGTAACAACCTAAGCCTTCTTAGAGTTAGAAAAAAGTAGGTAACTGATGTGTACAAATCACCTACTATGTGTCAGATACAAAGTTTGTTGCTTTTGTGTAGTATACAATTATCTTTATAACAACAAATAGAGATAGTAACTCTAATTATCCCCATTTTGCCAATGCAGAAATCAAAGCTAGAAAAGGTAAAGTAACTACAAATTTGGCCAAAATACAAAGTGTTAGAACCAAACTCTGAAGGAAAAATATGGTAACTTCTGTCACATGCCTGTAATAACCTATAATTTCCTTCCTATATGATTGCTGACAACCTGAGTCACTGTTCATCAATTAAAAACATGTCTTTGGGTATTCAAAATGCTTCCATTAAAACATAGCAAATGGTGTGTGTATAACAGTTAAGCAACACAGAGAGAGAATTCAACCCAAGTTTTTGTATATAAACAATTGCAATTAATATCAGTATGCATTATTAAGTTGCAAGTTGTTTAGGAAAATCTTGTAGTTATGTTTTTTAAGAGTAATATGTTTAAATTAATATTATATATTATTACTCTGCTATTTTTGAAATGAAGCAGTGAACTCTGATTAGCTCTCAGAAGTCAGTCATTATATTTAGGAAAAGTCAGTAAGTTTGCCTGTTACTCATTTACAAATTAATTCTTGTTGAATATTCAAAAAATATCTAAATATAATTTAATTTAGTTAATTTTTATCATGGGTATTAATACTCCACTGTTATGATGATAGACTTTCCTGTTGCTTTGGTAATATTGATAAATTCATTTTTAAGTATAAGTACCATTGTCTGAAATATTTTAGACTTTTTTTGTGGTTCATATTATTAGTGCATAAATGTCATCTAACATTATTTTAGAGTGGGTAACATCCTTTCTTCTAATGACATATTAATCACTCATACAGGTTAACACACACATATTCACACCTACAGAATTATTATTTTTAAAAGTTATGTAATCAAAAATATTTTTCTTTAATTTCCTCTATATTATGATATATAGCATGGGAATAGAAAAAAGTACTAAAATTTTTCATTTTCTTATAACTGTTAAGTTTTCTGCCTTTTTCTTTTCTGGCTACTATTCTTATTATTGAATTCCCTGTACAACATCTATGGGAACAAGATAAATACTCCAGAAAACTTGCACTTTGCTGAAATGTGTAAGTAATAAAATAAATTATACTGTAATGTATATTGCATTCAGTTTACTGTCACACTTCAATTTTGCTATTGTTTCAAGTGTAGTTGTTGTTGATGAAGTAGGGCTTCTTACCAGCAGTGTAACTTGGGCAAGTTACTTACCTCTAGATTCTGTGAGATGAGAATCATAAGGCTGCTTAATTCATTGTTGGGATTTACAAACGTAATGCACATAATGTGTTACCACAGCACCTGACACTCAGTAAGTTCTTAATAAAGATTAACTAGTAAATGTTGGCCAATTTATTTCCTAACTGTGCAATCTACATAACTCTTTATAATGTTTTCCAACAATATGAATCAATTTTGGTTTATAATTATTATTTTTTAAATATAAAGAATCCCTTTAATTGGTATAATTCTTGAGTGTGATAAACATGTATGTATATATGTATATATGTATGCACATATATATGACTACATCTGCCAAAAAACTAAAATTTGTTAATAAGTATTCAAAATGTTTTATTTCTTATGAATATTTGTCTAGTATATCTGGCTAGTTGAAACTTTTCACAGCATTTCCATCTGGATGATGACTTAATTTTTTTTTTTTTTTTTTTTTTTTTTGAGACAGAGTCTCGCTCTGTCACCCAGGCTGGAGTGCAGTGGAATGATCTCAGCTCACTGAAAGCTCCACCTCCCGGGTTCATGCCATTCTCCTGCGTCAGCCTCCCGAGTAGCTGGGACTACAGGTGCCCGCCACAATGCCTGGCTAATTTTTTCTATTTTTTTAGTAGAGACGGGGTTTCACCATGTTAGCCAGGATGGTCTCGATCTCCTGACCTCGTGATCCACCCGTCTCGGCCTCCTGAAGTGCTGGGATTACAGGCGTGAGCCACCGCACCCGGCCGATGATGACTTAATTTATGGTCATTATGGTATATGCAATAATGAAGGGGAATCTGCAATTTTACAGTATGTAAGTTTGACTTACTTTTTTGGATGCTGCCATACTTCATGTATTTTATATAAACATTTGCAAATGGGATATATAATATTGTTCTGTTTCCAACAAACCTAAAATATGTATTTGTATGTCTATATAAATGTATTAAGACTTTTGTTGCAAGAAATTACATATAAACAGAAAAGTGAATAAAACAAACATACATCGTATTGAATTGTTTTCAAGAGAAAACTCATATAACATCATTTGGTCAAAAAAAAAAAAACAGTCTTAATCCAGATACATTCTGTGTAGTACTCTTTTCTAGCCACAATCCCCCCTCCCCCAGCCTCCCACAGCTGGCAAAGCAAAATACTGTATTTATTTTTATATTAATCACTTTCTTGCTTGTTTTACCACATTACAACCTGAAAATGTATCCCTAAATACTGTAGATTTGCCAGCTTTAATTTACCTTAATGTAGACATTTAACTGGGACACATGCGGATGGAACTTGACACGATTCATTTTTCCCTATGTTTGCCTCTACATGGGTAAGTCTACGCTTGAAAACAAGAGTTAGCAGAGCTACTCGCAGGTTAAGCTGTAGCACAGTGGTTAAGAGCACAGACTCCAAAGGCAGCAGCTTGGATTCAAACTGAGGCTGTGCCCCCAGTGTCTTTCAGGAAGTTATTCAACCTCTCTGCCATCTTACGTTACCCAACTTTAAAATTGGGTAATAATAGTGTTTATTCATAAGCTTTTTAGGAAAATTAAATTAATTAACTTTGTAAATTGCTCGTGTTTGTTAAAGAAATATATCAACGGCTTTGATTGTGTTGTTAGTGTGAGAAAACATTTTAAATGGTCCATTTTCAAGGCATGATAAATCTAAGTACTGGCAGCCAGGCTGCAAATGTAACAAACCACAGGGCTCTTGCACCTAGAAGGTCACAATAAGCAAACAGAATGTAGCGGAGGGGTCAGCCCATAAAAGGGAAGAAAGTTTCATTTTTGGGAAGTCGAAACTTAAGCAAGGAAGGGGATGGAGGTATAACCTTATAAGGGAGATAATGAAACTTTAGGCAACGTCTGGGAAGATTGTAACCCCATAGTACTCGACCAATGAGGAACTAGGGGAGGGACTTGCGTGCTAGGAGATAAATTACCTGTTGTGACTGCCCCAGATGTGCCTGCCTACCAGACACTCGATCTTGCAAGGCTGTTATTAAAAGTCTCACTTTCGCTGTTCTTTTTGCTTCTAAGTCCATCTTTGGGTTTGGGTGGGTGAGTGTGTTTCTCACATTAGCAATAACTCTGGGCTTATTCAATATACCCATGAGTTTCTGGTATCTGATAAATTCCTTAGTCTGTGAAATAAAGAAAAGTATATAGCATGAGAACCAAATATTTTAATGGTAGGATATATTCAAATCTTAAAAAAATAGGATATAATTATAGCATTACCACTTTTTATTTTCAAACATTAACAATAAACACTCATAATATCTCTTCTGCCATTGAGAGTTTGTATCATTGCTGTTGGTTGGATAATATGCTGCACAAATCTGTGCAATTCTCTGTCCTGTTTCTTCTGTGCACAGCTGAGAGAACTAAACAAAAGTGCATTTATAAAAAGTGAATGCTTTCCTGGCTCCGGGACACTATGTCTTATTCAGCATGAGATGGGTTCTGAAATTCTGAGTGCCTTTTAATATCTTATTCAGAAAACAACCTCTAAATTTTGAATGTCATAATTTTGTGATTTAAAAAAAATCATCAGTGTTATTGATATTTCCAATTATTGTTAGTAAGCAGGTATGAAAGAGAGTATGGTGTAAAAATATATCAAACCTGATGTGTTATTTGGCTGGAGCTGCAGTGACAAAGTACCACAGACAGGGTGGCTAAAAAAACAAAACAAACAAAAAAACAGAAATTTACTTTCACTGAATTTGTAATTGTAATTTTATTTAACTTTAAGTTAAATAAAATTTAACTTTAAGTTTATATAGCCACTTGTGGCTAGTGCTACTGTATTGGGCAGTAGAGATGTAGCACTGAGTTTTTTTTCTTTTTTAATGTATCTGGGTATATCAATGGCAAATGTGCTTTTATATGTTGGAGTTGGAGCTACAAAAATATAATTTGATGCTCTGTATATTGTCTGCTATACTTTTGTTAAAGTTATTACTTTCTATATATCCAGGGCCTGTAGGTATATATATATATATGTGTGTGTATATATATGTGTGTGTATATATATGTGTGTGTATATATCTGTATATGATATATAGATATATAGATATATAGATATATCTATATAGATAGATCTATATAGATATATAGATAGATCTACATAGATAGATATATAGATATATCTATATAGATAGATATATATATAGATATATAGATATAGATAGATATATACACACACATACATGATAATGAATGTTCTCACTTCCTGGTGGTTAGTCACCTATCTCTTATAATCTTTGTATCAATTTTTGTCTAAAATTCTATTCGGTTTGTTATTTACATTGCTTTTCTTTAAGTTAAATGTTTTGGCACACACACCGTCATATTATTTCCCACCTTTCAGGGTTGTTTTGTTTTTAGTGTACCTTTTTAAAAGGATATATACCTATATTTTCAAAAAATTCAATCTGATAACCTCTGTCTTAAAAAGTGCGATTGTTCCCTGATTCAAGTGTTCTTTATATTCAGGCAAACCGGTTGTGCATTCATGTGTGTGTAAATATAGCTAAAATAAAATTAAATGTCCTAATATCATTTGGCTGACATTCTCGTGCCGATCATGAAAATCAATTTAGTAAGGAGAAATGGTAAGCCTTAATTGATTTACCTGACTCTAAACCTATCAGCTCTTTTCTCACTTTAGTTTGGTTCAATTTGACAAGCAGCTACGAGTAACTTGCTTGATTCTGTCAACTAAACTCACTGTTGGGCAGGCACTACCTTGCATTTTTTTCTAGTACTACATATTGAAATTTTAAAGCAGGTTATCAAGGAGATTATAATGTGACCAACTTCTCTGGCTTAGTAGAGAATATTTTTAGTTTAAATGTTGCAGTGAGACTAAAGCTGAAATCACAAATGTTCAGTGGCATTCTGTTCAAGGGTTGAAACTGAGCCACTTGAAATGAAGTAGGGAAGGCAAAGCTCTACCTCTGCACTCTTAGGATCTTTGGCTAGGTTTGAGACTAGATTGACATAAGGCAGATTAATAGGAGAAAATCGTAGAGTTTATTTTACATGCACCTAGAAATCTCCACAAGAAAATGAAGACCGAAAGAAGTGGCAAAACCCAGATGTTTATACATTAGGTTGAACAAAGTCTGGTGATAGTGGATAAGTAACTAATATGTATGGGATAGCTAAGGAAGATAAAAATTATTTTTATAAGATCTGTTGGTACAGATACTTTTCAGCCTTGACTCACCATCTCTGGTAAGAAAAATATTTCTTTCTTCCTGGTACAGGGAGGAGAAAGAAGGTCAGACTCTTTTTTTCCTGCTATTTTTGAAATGCCTTATGCCAAAGTGGCTAATTTTGAGGTGGCATATTCTGCCAACGTTCGGTAGCACAGACACTCAGTATCTCAAGTATTAGAGATGACGTATGTCTAGATGGAATTTCCCAGGCACCAGAGTCTGAAATGGAGATTGATGTGCAAGAAGAGCTCTTAGAGGGAGTAAGGGCAGCAGCACTGGGAAGACGGGGAGGCTTACTGAGTGGTGGTTGTAAAAGAGCTCTCAGATAGTGTCATGGGGAGCTCTGAAGCTAGCATGGCTCTTCCACATTGTCTGGCATTGAGACAAGGGGGTTGTGCTTTTTCACCCCAGCATCAAGCAGTCCTTGGATATGGCTGTCCTCAGGGAAGACATGCAGATGAGGTAGTTTTATTGGGCAGGAGAATGAGTAGGGAGGTACTAACTTGTGAGCTTTCAGGATCCAACACTTGTGGCTGGGGAAATTAATGTTTTGTTCCTGAAGGAGGATCTGAGGGTCCCATTAAAGCATCCTCCACAATCTGTTACTTAGAAGTTAGGAAGTGTATGTGCTTAATTCTTTTCATTAGGCAGTGGGATATTAAAATGAAATTACTTAAGATTTATAGTCAGAATATGTCTGTGGAAGTATAGAACTAATTTATTAATGTTTTCATTTCATTAACATATTTTAGTGCTTAAACAATTTCTTAACTTAAAAGTTGGAAGTATCTGACCTTATTAGAAAAAACTTCAGTAAGCGTATTCATTTCTGATAAACAAATAATGTGAGAAAGAATACCCAGAGAGGTTAGTCAAAGGAATGGAAGGAGATAAATGAATGAATGCTATCAATAAGGAAAGTGTCCTAAGAATCAGATGTTAGTCATCTCAGTTGTTGACGGAAAGTCAGGTAGGATAAAGACCAAGGAATACCCACTAGATTCACAACCAAGGGGCTCTGGGTGTTCCTTTTTAGGTGAGGAATTGGGGACAGACTACAACTTGCAAGCAGTGAAGTGACTGAAGGAGTCATAAGGGAGGAAGTGTTTGTGATGATTTGAGCATTTATCAATGCTGAGCAGAAAGAGCTCGTTAAGAGAAAATGGAAATAATAAGAACTCAGAGGTAAAATCTCTCCTCATGGAGGAGCTGGGAAATAGTAAGTTCTGGGAAGAAGGCACAGTATATAAAACTCAAGCAGCTCTTTGTTACCCTGATTAAGCTGTTTTGCTAATTTAAGGGAAGGAAAAGTTAAACAAACACTCTTATTGTTATTGGGTGAGTTTAAGTAAGTTTATTTAGATAATGTCACGGAATGTTAAATGTGTAACATTATTAACACTAAAAAGCCAAACTCACATTGTAGACTTACTCTACTTATTTATTTGTTTGTTTGTTTATATATTCCCAGCTCCATTTAGAAATCTAGATGGAAACTATTGAATTTAGCAGTTCACCTAGAAATAACAAAAACAAAAACATTTTTTAAATGTGCCATTCTAGGATAAGACAGGTACAGTTACAATCCCCAAGCTTTGAGCTGCGTTTCTTAGCTCCACACTATACGTTGCTTTCATTTGTTCATTTATTTATTCAACTTTAATTCAACAAGTATTCTCGAGCACTTATTTTATGTAGACCTTGTTCTAAGTGATGGGTATAGGAGTAAAAAAAAAAAGTCTATTCTTGTGGGGATTCATTATAGTGGGGAAGAGAGACAATAAACAAGATATTTATGTAAAATGTGTAGTATGACATTTGGTGATCAGTGTTCCTAAGGAAGGCCAGGATTTGGGGTCAGGAAGACCTGCAATTTTAAGTTGAGTAGTCAGGGGAAAGCTTTCTGAGAAGATAATTTCTTAGTAAAGACTTAAGGAAGATGAGACTCTTGCTTGGAGCAAAAGCATTCCAAACAGAGGAAAGTGTTTAGATGGAAATATCCCGAGGTGACAGGACGATGTGAAGCCCTCTGAGTACAGTTGATATTTACTTGGTAGGTATTGGTCCAATCTTAGTAGGTGGATGTTAGCATGAATTTCAGTTGGTCAGGGCCTGCATTATACTCCCTGCTAAATTTTAGAATTTCATCATCACAATGAGAATTTTAACCAAAGGGGAAGCATAACCTGACATTTTTTAACAAAATCACTCTTGCTGCATGTTGAGAAGATAGTGAAAACATCAAAAATAAAAGCAAAGAAATGAGGTTATTGCAGTCACCCAGGCAAAAGAGGATTATGGATTGAACTCGGGTGTTAGAAGTGTAGGGGTGAGAAATGGTCACATTCTGGATGTATTTTAAAGGTAAAGGCAACATAAACTGCCCACAGAGAGGATGTGGGTATGAGAGAAAGTGATGAGTCATGAATGCCTCTAAGGGTTTTGGCCCAAGCCACTGGAAGAATGAAGTTGACGTTAACTGAGATGAGAAAGACAACGGGAAAAGTAGGTCTGGGGAAATTATCAGGAGTGTGGACATGTTAAATTTGAGATGCAGATTAGTCATCCAAGTGAGTTCGTGAGTATAAATCTGGGGTTTTTAGGGGATATAGCAAAAATGTTAGAGTCTTCAGTCTGTGGATGGTATTTAAAGCCAAGAAGACTATTTGAAGTTACAAAGGGAATGAGTATAGATAGAAAAGACAAGAGGTCCAGGGACTGAGCCCTGGAGCACTCTAAAATTAAGAGTTAGAGAGGAAGAGGAAGAGCCCGCTAAGAAGGAATGGCTAGAGAAGGAGGAGGGAAATCAAAGAAAATGTGTATTGGAAACCAAGTAAAGAAAATGTTTCACAGAGTAGACAGCATTCAACTCTGTCTAATGCTGCTCATTGGTCAAGTAAGAAGATGACTAAGATTTGACATTTGTATTTAGCAGCGTTTTTGATTTCAAGAATTCCCTTCATTTCCCCCTGTGATCTTGTAAAAAGCAGGCCTGTGCATGTGTCCTTCCATAGTACAGAAATTCTTGCATTTTAATCCCTAATGTTCATTAAGCTTGTGTAGTTTCATTAATTTCAAAATTCAACCTGAATTCCAAATTGTATTAGCAATCATTTTGACAGATATTTAAATGCTGATTTGATCTACAAATTTAATATTGCAAATTATTCAGAATCTGAAAAGCAATACTGTTGTTTTCTTCAATTTGTTCAACTCAGTCCTGCTGACGATGATCTGGAGATATGCTGCAGAGAAGACCAACACCTTTGGAAGAGAAATACCCACATCTTACTTTCTTAATAATAATAATTTCACATTTCTTATTACATCCAAAAATAAGCTCTCATTCTTGTATAAAGAATCCACATAGCACATTTTTCTTTAGAAATTAGATTACTATATATTCTTTATGAAAATAAGGCAAGTGGATAAATACAGCTTTAGCTCAATAGAACGTATGCATCTATTATACCATTCAACAATATTATATAAATAATCACCAACCCAGAGTCTCTGCATCTCCCATTATGTGGCTGTCTTCCTCTCTAATTGCCAGTGTTATTTTCTGGTTACAAGCATTTCAGGTAGAGGATTGTTTTTAGAAGAGCACCAATAGATTTTTATCTAAACCATGAAAGAGGTTTTTACCTACTAGACTTCTGCACTAGCATTGCTGAGATACTGTGTCTGGCCCAAAGACTGGGCACAATTCCAGAAGTTCAGCTTAAAACCTCAGTGGGGAGAGCAGGTACATACAGGCTGCCCCACTGGGAACCTTGAATGCTGAACAGCTGAGGATCAGCCTAATTGATTCCAACCTGAGGTGCAGAGCCTTATTTTATGAGGGCAAAAGAAAAACCATGAGAAATAATTGTATCCAAAACCTTCAGAAAGAACAAATAAACCCTGCATTATTCTATTTATTCTATTGCCCCATTTTACCTAATAAGTTATAAAGTATACAAAAAGTAAAATCATGGCTCCCTTATATAAAGACTCCAACTAAATATGTAATGTGGTCAAAGCCTGGCGAAAGTTTAACAAAATAAAAAAGCAAGCAAACGCAGAGTATATGCTAAATATATTGTCTTGATTCATAGTGTAACTGTCTACTGAATTCCTTCAGTATAGGCTTGATAAGACCTTAAGCACTGCATATCAGCCTGTACTGCAAGATTTATTGCTGAATAGTCTTTTTATACTTTAGAGAGTATTTTATTTATTTCATTTTCCATTAATAAATCTTCTGCTCTTTCACGTGGACATCTATGGCTTTTTCTTTTAAAATAACGACAGGCTCTATGACTCCCTACTCTCTTCCCTCTAAATATATAGAATGGGGAGAGTGTAGCAAGCTAAAGCACACATTGGTTTTTGTGAAAATGCATGCTATCACAAAATTAAAACATTTAAAAAATCCTTAACTGCAATCTACTGCCTATGCTATTCTCAGGAGAGTTTGGTGCAGAAAGCCAAAGCTCAGGAATATTTATGCAGCCTGACTACAGAGTTCACTGTAAGCCTAGAGCTAAAGCAAAAATTTAAAGATACAGGACAAGAGTTTCATCTTGGGTGAATCCATGAAAAAAATTCCCATGGAATTATATAGGTTGAGATTCTGGCCGCCAGCAATAATGTTCAAACAGGCAAAAGGAACTACACGTATAATATAATTTCAGTTCTGTGCTCTGCGTGTTTCCCCATTTCCATATAAAGCACTGGCACTGATATTAATCAGTGCCACTGGATCCCTCCTGCCACTGACAGAATAGTCACCATGACACTTTCTCTGTAAGAACTTTCTATCTGAGGCGTTCCACAGCCCATCCCTTCCCTTCATCAAATCCATGGCTAAAGCAGCCACTATCACTGAAAGTGCAGCAATGCATGCCAAGTGTGACCAAACATATTAGTAACTACATGTGAATTTATTTTCAGGAACCTAGAAGCCCAAGTCTGACATAAGATAATCTTTTTATTATGGTTTTCTTTCATGAATATATTTTGTCTCACTTAAGTATGAACAACATTAATTTTATAATATCCTACAGACAAAGTGTTTTGGTTTACTCATCTGGGCATTTATTGCATATCTATTGCTATTATACGTGCCAGACACCGTGCTACGCATGAGAATGCAAAACCCTCTAAGACATGGTTCCTGCTTTCTAACTAGTAATGCTTCTTAAATATGAGATACTGTAGCTCCCAACTGGCTTCAGATTAGCAAATCAATATGTAGGCAAAGTAGCATTTGAAGGCTAGATAAATATCATTCACACAAACATATGTAATATGGATTTGCATACACACCTATTTCTGTTGGAATTAGAAAATTTAAATGTACTTTACTTAATTAATGATAGCATTTTATCAGTAAGCTTTTCCTTAGAATCAATGAATATTAATAGTGCAATTCAGGTTATGTAAGTGTTCATGATTTTTTTGACACTTAAAAGGGGCCCACTTATTCAAGAACATTCAAATTTACTGTTATGCATATTTACGTATATGGTTCAAATATAATCATAGTGCTATTTAACACAGAATAACTTACACATGCCTTTAGAAACACTCTTGTAGGTACTGACTTCTTGTGACAGATGTTTGTTTTGTTTGTTAAACTAAACTTCAACCCATCACAGAGCATTCTCTGGTCACAGAATGTCACTGAAAATGATAGTTTTTATAGATTTTCCCCATTGTTTTCTGTATGCTGAATGTTACTTAACTACAAATAAAAAAAATGCATTTTAAGAAGTAATGGGATAGAATTTTCTTTTTTATACTGAAAACAAAGATAGCTTTCCAGCAGTTTGCTGCAGGGTCTATTTCCAAGTATGATCTTTGGTCTTTGAATTCCTCAGATCTTTTGTTTTTACTGCATCACTTTTAATTATGAGGTTAGGACAAAAGGATTTACAGATTTTTGGAAATTAACATTATCATTATTTCAAGCAGAAACATTACTTAGTCAAAAGCAACAAAAACAGAAAAGTAATCATGTAACCCTACCACTAGTTTCCTTGGAAATATCAATATCATGAGATTGATTATAACCAATTATTGCAGCCGAGATTTTTTGGACAGTGATGATGGCCTGTGTAGCATGCTAGGTGCTGGTGATAAAGTCAGGAAGAATGGGCCTTTGTCCTTAACAATTTCATGGTCTGGAGGCACAGGGGACCAGTAAATAGGACAAGTGCATGGGTATAGTAGCCATGCCGTAGGAGAAATGTCATGGGGCTTCTGGGAGGCATTGCTGCACCACTCATGAGTGCCAAAGAAGACAACTGGGACTTGGAAAGGTCACTTCACAATGAAGAGATAAAGACTAAAAGGAGCTAAAAGTAGAATAAACATATACATACAGAATATTTACAAATATTGACAATGCATTTTGTTTTAAAAATAGACAAATTAAACAACCCAAATGGCTAATGAATGTGACAAATCACAGACATGTATATTAAACAGACCTGGGGAGAAAATGAATAATAATGAGGGTGGGGATTCTTGGCAAAGGGAGCATCTGAAGTAAAGATGTGAGGTGCGATGATGGTGTTGAGAATGGAGGTGGAAGGAAGTGAATAGGTACCAGGATGTTTTAGGAGGTAGAATATGAAAAGGATTTGGTGATAGATTGAACTCTGGGAATGAGAGGAAGGGGCTCCTCTACCTGGTCCTGTACAGCTGGATGAGTGGTGTGCTTTTCACTGAAAAGTTTTGCGGGGTGGTTTGAGGGAGCTTATGTTCAATTTTGAACATAGTAAACTTGTGATCTCATAGAGACATATGACTTAAGATACCTGGTGGGCAAACAAAACAAACAAAAAAGCTTACAGAGGAGTAGAAAGAAAACTAGGAATATATGCTAGGACACAAGGAATATATGTAAAACATTACTTTTTTCCAGAAGGGATAATGCACTGTGGTGCCCAGTGATAATGAGAGATTGAGGAAGATTTGTGAATTATAAGTAGTCGTGTTCAATATGGTTAGAAATGTGGACAGGGATTTGTGTGCTGTTCTAAATAATTGAGATGATTGTTGCAAACTCAGTGTTGCACCACTGAAGGTTTTTAAGCTGTAGACTGGTTTCATTTAAAATGGCCTCTGAAGGAAAACCTAGAGTCACACTTTGCTTCAAAAATAGAAGACTTTAAAGATACCTCAGCAAATCCAGAGTTATCCTAGTTTTGTTCTTATGGAAAAAATTGAAGTTAGGGTGAAGAAAATTGTGCTTTTAAAAAGACAGCAGTCAACCATAATCACAGCAGTTTCTGAACCTAACTAAACATGAATAGTTAACTGATCTTATAATTATTATAATGATTATCACCATGATGTTATGATTATTGTATCATCAACAGCCATCTATTAAATACCAATATGGGATGGCACAATTGGGAATAAACCGTAGCCTTGCTTAGTGGACATTTATAGTCAGCTCTTTTATATGTTTCTTATGCTCTATATCTGCTCCTATATATGAATACTGAACACATCAGCCCAATATAAACTTTACCAGCTTACCTTCTTTCACAGTAACGTTGGTTAAAAAAAAAAAGAAATAGATGCATTTTATTTATACCCTTTTATATTTCCTACGTAACATTTGATCAGGTAATTTCAAGAACAAATCGAATGATAAAATGTGATCTCTCTGTACTAGTTTTTCAAAAAGTGTGTGAAACAGACTGAAAAAGAAATAACAGTTACTGAATATTAATATTATATACTTAACTACATATTTCACCTTCCTCAAAGTAAAAAAAAGAAAGCTGAACAGAAATCAGAGAAATGCAAGCTAAAACAATGCATTGATATGATACTATACTCATTGATTCACAGATAATAAAAAGCTGGGATATAAGCAGTAGAGACTTTAACCCACTGGTGGTGGGAATATAAGTAGATACCACTGCTTGAAAAACAATTTGAGAATAGTTTAGTAAATACACATCATTTCATGCAGCTACTTTATCTGTAGGTACATATCCAAAATAAATTTTTGCACAGGGTACAAGGAAAAATATATTAAAATGTAATTGCAAAAAACAGGAAAAACTTCAATCCCAAATATCTGTAAACAGGAGAATGAAGAAATAAATTATGGTAGATTTATACAATAAAATGCTATAAAGCAACTAAAGTGTATGAATTGAAGTTTTCTGGGTAAAACGGATAAATTTCAAAAACACTGTTTCAGGAAACAAAGCAACATATAGAAGGAAAGTTGATAACATATGTAAAATTTAGAGAGTAAAGTAGACCTCTAGATTGTTTTAAAAGTACAAATCATGCATTCATATTATAAATATAAAAATTGTATTAGTGGCTTCTGAAGAGGGTGCAAGAGAAAAGAATGTAATAAAAGAGGGGCACACAGAGACTTACAACTGTATCTTTAATGTTTTGTTTCTTTAAAAAATATGAGGCCGGGCACGGTGGCTCACGCCTGTAATCCCAGCACTTTGGGAGGCTGAGGTGGACAAATCACGAGCTCAGGAGTTCGAGACCAGCCTGGCCAACATGGTGAAACCCCATCTCTACTAAAAATGAAAAAAAAAAAATTAGCTGGGTGTAGTGGCCGGCACCTGTAATCCCAGCTACTTCAGAGGCTGAGGCAGCAGAATCACTTGAATCCGGGAGGCAGAGGTTGCAGCGAGCCGAGATCGCACCACTGCATTTATTCCAGTCCAGGTGACAGAGTGAGACTCCACCTCAAAAAAAAAAAAAAAAAAAAAAAAAGTGAAATAAAAGTTGAATATGCTGAAATCTGGCAGTTAGGTGGTAGATACATAGGTGTTCATTATACTATTCTTCATACTTCTTTTCACTCTTCAAATATCTCATAATTTAAAATAAGTATTTGGACTGCCTGGGGTTATAGTTTATTATTAGCAGAGCCAGGATTAGATTAGAGAGCATCTGGTTGTCATAATCAGAAGAGAACAAGCTGGAGTCAAGAGTATACACACAACTGCCCATGCAGAAAAAGAAAAAATGTGTACTTGCCATTTCCACACTGTGATCACAGATGTCACCCACAAACCATATTAACAGCTAACATTTTTAAGCACTGATTAGATACTTTGCTGAGTGTTTCATGTGGATTATGGCATTAGGATAAGATGGAAACATGAGTCAGATTTAAACAAGATCTAAAATGCACTATAGTGGAGTGCCCATTACTGAAAGGGAATGTGGGTTGCAAAAGGCATTCAAAAGGTAAATGAATAATGTGTTTGGGCTTGAAGTGATGTCAGACATGATAGAACCCACATTTCTCCATTTGTAGTCAAATTATTATTCTACTTTAAACTGATTTAGACAGTAGCCTATGAATAAAATATCAGAAATTATGAAAGTCATGTTTTGAATTCTGTTGATCACAGTAAAGGTAAGAAATAGAATTGAATGAGAACAAACTGGTAAGAAAAAGAGAATGCATTAGACTTCAGAAAACTTATAAGATTCCTTAAATAGGTCATGGAATACTTGTAGTTGATAATAATAATGGTCATTTATTGAACATTTAATATGTGCCAACCACTGTTCTCAGGGCTTTGCAAACATTAACTTATTTAATTTTCACAATGATCCTGTGAATTAGATGCCAAGGTTTTTATTTCCTTTTTTTTTTTTTTTTTTTTTTTGACAGAGTCTTGCTTTGTTGCCCAGGCTGGAGTGCAGGGGGTGATCTTCATTCACTGTAGCTTCAAACTCATGGGCTCAAGCAATCCTCCTACCTAAGCCCTCATCCTCCTGTGTAGATGGGACTATGGGCATGCACCACCACGCCTAGCTATTTTTTTAAATTTTTTGTAGAGATAGAGTCTCACCATGTTGCCCAGAACTCCTGGGCTCAAGCCATCCTACTGTGTCAGCTTTCCAAAGTGTTGAGATTTCAAGCGTGAACCACCACCCCTGGCCTAGGTTTTTCTCCTTTACAGAAGTGATCACCAAATTATAGATCTTCAGTGATTTTTCCAAACTTACAAAACTAGTCTATGACAAAGACAGAATTCCAGGGCTCACATTCTTAACCACAGTGCAGTGCCGACAGTCGTGGGATGAAAACGTGATTTTAAAAAATATATTCACAGATAGTGGCTCACAAGAAAGAAGTAAAGGCAACATCATACTTAATAGCCATAAGAATACTGTCTGATAAGAAAAACATACATACAGGTAGAGTAATTGTACAGAAAACACTGTAGACATGCTGGATCATTAGAATATACTAGTAAAATAGTCACCATTGAATGAATGCTTCTAGAGATCATGATCTGATTAAATTATATCAATTTCAAGGAGATGAAACTGAAGGCAGTACCAGTCATGGCCTGGGGGATGGGCACCCCTATTCTAAATGACACTCATTTCTACTCAGTAAAGTTAAAGAGAAGGGAAGGGCAATGAGGGATATGATTCCTGGGGCATCACAAGGAAACAATTCTTTGCTAGGCATTTTATAGAAAGCAAAGATGTAGAAACATTACATTTTGCCTCTCTTACTCAGCCATTGCCCTTTGGTGATACAAGTCATGTGAGAAGAGTGAAAAGCAAATGTGGCCAAAGTGTCAAGCACCATAAAGCAAAGGAAATGTTCAGTTTTCAGTCTTCTGTGAAAACTGGACAGCATCAATTCATGAGCAGTGGTACATTAAATAGCGGCAAAGAGACCCCAGGGATTAAGTACTGGGTGTATCAGTCCATTGGCAATAAAGGAATGCTTATTTTAGTACAGAATTCCTGGGTGTCTGGAGAGAATGTGCAGCAGTAAAATGATCAAACAATTTTGGAATGGAAGCTGGGAAAGGGAAAGTGTCAGCAGAGAGGGCGGAAGAAATATCTTATCGAAGCTTCTGCCCTATGATTTCACTCTGAGAAGTGGGTCACGGTAGTAAGGAGAGGACAAGGAAGAGTGATAGCAAAGGGCAAAGCTCTTTTTTAGACCAAGGCATCCATCCAAATTAGAACCTGAGAGGCAAGGTAACAAACAGCAAAGTATTATTATTCAAAGTAAATAATAGCTTTGTCTACAAATTAAAATGGAATAGTTTTAAGATATGTACATCATAGCATAATCTGTTCATAAAGCTTCAGCTATTTTGGGTTTAGCAAATACAGTGATTACAATCTTGGTAAGTACTATTGTGTACAAACCAAAAATGTATATGTAGAATGCAGATTACAGTATTTATGCTAATCTAGATGGCAGGACTCCCATAAGTAAATATAAGTAAACAGTTTTTAGCATGTCACTGGGATGTTGAGAAAACTTCTCTAGGAGAGTACAGGATTTATTTTTATTGATTGGGCTTACTAATAGTTAAGACACTACTTTGATGTGATTACCCACATATATTTGAATTATTCCTGCTTCCTGGAGGGAGTTGGACTTAATGACCTTTATAATATGGCAGCCTTCGAATAAATTTTCTTTCATGAAAAAGGATAAGGGAGGTAGGAAATTTACAGCCATTGATACCTATTGTACACTAGGAATTGTACCAGTTACTTTACAGGCATTATCATGGTATCCTATTTAAGTCTACTAATTTAAGAATGGAAAGGAAATTGAGGCATAGAAGGATTTTACCAAGGTAACAAGGCTAAAAGTAGTAAATCTAGGGGAGGGGGTGGTGAAAAAATATTGATATGGCTCCTAAAGCCTGTATCCCTTAAATTATACCACACTCTCCTTTGTGTGATCTCAAGAACAGCAGGAAACATGAGTAGGGACAATCTTTAGCCACTCCATGTCAGAAATATCAAAGAGAACAGGAGGAGTCAGGATGGGGAATACTTGGTCCTCTGGGAGAGGAGTCAGCACATCCACATTTACCTAAGCAAGGGCAATTCAGCAGGGTAAATGTGTTATGCATTGGCAATCTGCACTATTCTTTTTCATTACATGGAGAAAAGTTTGTTCTTCTCAAGATTACGTTAGAATCTAAGAAGTAACAGTGGACCCACACGAAATATGTTATTATTTCCTTTCTTCAATATGGGGGCATGTCAGACATTTTTTCTATACCTGATATAATATTGGGCACGTGGTAGGTCCTCAACATGCTGATTTGTGTTGCAAGAATGAAAATGAGAAGATCAGAAATCAGAGTTTTTAGCTATTACCATATAATGTGGTAGTTTGAGGAAGTATTTACTCATCTGATTCTGTAGAAGCCCAAATAATTTTTGAGTCTCTTACTTCATGCCAGGTTTGATGCTGGAAAAACAAAAAAAAATTCTCTCTATGTATGTTCAAGTTCATCTGCTATATTTAGTTACAGATGACGTAATTTGGAGGAATGAATGAAATATACAGTGAAACACAAGAGAGGAATAGACAGTCTGTAATGTTATGCTTTCATTCTTTTCCATATGTTGTTTGAAATGCTCTACTCTTCCATCTACTGTTGGTTCATACATAAACTCTTACTCATCCTTAAAATCTTGCTTAGACATTTGCCTTTTTGTCTGTTTGCGTCTAACTTTCCATTTATAAAATAGAGACAACAGACTAGACTACGTGATTGATATGAGCTGTGACTTAAAAAAAGATATTTACATAACCACTTTGAGTTATTTGGGGAAAATATGGTACACACAAACAGGTTTTATTAGATTTCCAGTGACATGGATGGAGAAATTAAAAGGTTGAATCTTCAGGGATTGTATGTTGGGGTATACTACGGTAAAAGGACCTTCATAATTTCCAATAATTACATTATCATGCGTATTAACTTTCAAAAAAAGGGGTTTATTTCCTGTATTGAAAAGGATTTCTACATTAAAAAAATCAATTTTGATTTGATTTTTATTAGCTCAATTTTTTGAGAAAAATATTTTACAAAGCCCCTGTGTAAATGATATAAATTTAAAATATATGTCTATGATAAGTTGGTATTTCACTATGTGAAGCAAAGGTAGGTTCTTAAAATATATGTTGAGTGAATGAATCAATGAAAAGTTATGGCACTCATACTGAATTATGTCTTATAAATGTTAGGCAGTAAACAGTATATTTCAAATACTGATCTTAACAACTGGTGTAGCTACACAAGTAGGCAAATGGCAAGATTTTTACAAATAAATGCAGTTCTTAATATAATATAAAATAGCAAATAATCAATATCTTATTTGGGCTGCTGTAACAAAATAATATAGACTGGGTGGCTTATTAGAAAACAGAAATTTATTTTTCACAGTACTGGAGGCTGGAAGTCCAAGATCAAGGTGTCCGCAGATTTTGTGTCTGTGAGGGTCTGCTTCCTCAGAGATCGGCTCTCTTCTCGGTATAACCTCACGTAGCAGAGAGGGCAAGGAAGTTTCTGGGGTCTCTGTTATAAGGACACTAATCACAGCCTAAAAGCCCCACCTCTTAATACCATCGCCTTGGGGGTTAAAATTTCAACATATGAATCTTGGGGGGATGTAAACATTCCATTCATTGCAGCCAATAATTAAAATGTTTAAGCAAAAGGTGACATCAGCTTTTTAACTTTTAAAATGGTTTACTTTATGTAATAAGTAGCATTTTATAGACTACTGGTGTTAAGGGGCTAAGATTACAGAATAACAATGTAGTGATTATTATGCGTAATATGTTTGAAAAGTTTAAATGGTTAAAAGATGCCTGATGTAGTTTATTTATTCTTTGAGTGTGCTATATATAACTAAAAATACTTGACATGAACATAAAGTCAAAAAGTAAGTATATCATCGGCAGGCGTGTTGTCTCAAGCCTGTAATCCCAGCACTTTGGGAGGCCTAGGCGGGTGGATCGCGAGGTCAGGAGTTTGAGACCAGCCTGGCCAACATGGTGAAACCCCATCTCTACTAAAAATAAAAAAAAAAATTTAGCCGAGCGTGGTGGTGTGCACCTGTAATTCCAGCTACTCCAGAGTCTGAGGCAGGAGAATTGCTTAAACCAGGGAGGGAGAGGTTGCAGTGAGCCAAGATCACGCCACTACACTCCAGCTTGGGTGACAGAGCAAGACTCCATCTCAATTAAAAAAAATAAGTATATAATCAAAGCAATGGCAAGAGAAAATAAAGACATTGGTAATCTAAATAAACAGATCAAAAAGCAAATGCTTGAGTAAGATTATGAAGGAAACGATTAAAAGTTACAGAAAAGCAATTACAGAATAGTTAGAGATTAAGTACTGTATATGGAGAAAGTTAACCAGAGCTGACAATTCTGAAAGCACATCTTGAATTTGTGTTCAAAATTTACAATCATCTAAAAAATGTAAATATTTTAAAAAATTCATCTGACTATAAATTTAGGCACACTCTCACACCAATCTTCTAAAACTGGATTGCAGCAAGAGGACCATATTTCTCATTTGGGGATTTTCTGTGTAATTTTAAGAAAACTGAAGTTCTACATACAAATGTATGTGAATAAGCAGCCAACAAAAGAATGAGATAAGATAGGATGAGATGGCAAAGAGCAGCCCAAAAAGACCCAGAAAGGTGTGTAGGAAGGAAAACAGTGGATGACTCCAGGGTGGCTTTGCAAGACTCAGGACTGTAAGAGAGATCCCAGCAACACAAGCAGAATATTTACTGAATAGTCATGCAATGAAAAATGTAAACTAGAAAATCTCCCTGCAGCAAATGTATAAATCCAGTGAATAAAAAGCAGTTCAGTCTTTCCATAATGAGACCCTGAACTAGTGTTAATAGATCTATGTGACAAGAAAAATGTTGATGCTCAACAATTACTTTTGCATTTTACCTATCAGGTCTTTGTTTTGGAGCATGCATTTGTCAAAATCATCCACTTCCTCCCTCTAGGGACTCAGTTAATATGGTTGCCTACTTGTTGCAATCCTTTCATATCCACTGTCTGTGAATAATGATGCTTCTTTAATCACTTATTTGAGCTGCAAGTATTCTAGATTATCACCTCTTTCGCTTGCCTTAAGAATAAAGCTAAAGAACTCCCAGAGAGTTCTTTTAAGATCTAGCACAGATATCCCACACTAAAACCAATTCAGTTGGAAATAAGAGAAAAATAGTCAGTAGAAATTCAGTTTGTAAATGAGACCAACACATGATAACTTATACATAATTGAGATTGATTGCTAAGGGAATGTTAATACATTTTATATAGCTACCTCTAATTTCCTTCTTGTGCTGCTAAAAGAACAAACTATTTTAAATAAGAGTGGCTTAGGTAAGACATCAAAAACTGGTACAAGATATTTGTGATAATTATTTTGCACATTTGACAATAATCATGTTCTACTATATGATTGTAGGAAAATGGATTTTGTGACACTCTCATATTTGTGGCTTAGCAGATAGGAGAAATAGTATGGGGCTTGACTCATTGAAACTGGTTTCTAGTCTTGCCTTAGCACTAGAGCCACAGTTTTTTCCACGCTTAACAGAAGAATAACTATGGAGTAGGTGGTTTGGTACAGTAAAAACACCAACAAACTAACAAACACTGATTTGGGGATCTGGAGATTAAGATTCCAATCCAAAAATGTGCCGCCACCTGGCTGTGTGACTTGTCATTACATTTCTAGACCTCCTTTTAAACATTTAAAGAGCAAAGAATTCATGAAGAATACAGTCTCTGGGGTCCTTTTTGTCTCTGAAATTTTATGAGTATATCTTATACTAAACTAAAGGGTTATTTTGCGAGACTGGCAGTAACATATACATTTATGAGCATACACTAAAAGAATTAAATTGCTATAAAATGCAATGAATTCTTTATTATTACCTCTCTGATTACTACTGTGCTCTGAAGGTCTTTCTCTCTTTGTGTGTGTGTGTGTCTGTGTGTGTCTGTATGTGTATGTGTGTCTGTGTGTGTCTGTGTGTGTGTGTATGTGTGTAGTTATCACTGTTTTTGGTGTTTCCAAAAATCAGTCATTTGTTCTGATAGCCAGAATTTTTTCTATGTCCATTTACCACCATTTTAAGTAAAAACTAACATTAAAAAAATTATTCCACATTTTACTAAAATGAAATTAGCAATAATATCCTTAAAATAGATTTCATATGCTGGTTTTATTTTTTCTGATGAATAGTGAAAGAAATACATAAAGCATTTTTTCAACTACTTAAAATCATCTCAATATTTGTGAAAATTGGTCTAGAATGTTACTGGGAAATAGTGACCATAGAGAGGTTAAATGTTGAAAGTAAAAATGATATTAAAATATATTAGGGCCTGGTGTGATATTAAGCCTGTGATCCCAGCACTTTTGGAGGCCAAGGTGGGAGGATTGCTTGAGTCCAGGAGTTCAAGACCAGCCTGAGCAACACAGTGGGACCCTGTCTTTACAAAAAATTTAAAAATTATCTGGGCGTGGTGGGCATACCTGTAGTGCTACCTACTTGGGAGGCTAAGGAGAATCACATGAGCCTGGAAGTTCGAGGCTGCAGTGAGCCATGATTGCACCACTGAACTCCAGCCTGGGTGACAGAGCAAGACGCTGTCTCTAAAAGAAATAAAAAATAAATAAATAAAATATTTTAGGATGCTCTAATTCAAATAGCACTTTTCAAATCAGAACTATAACAACTGGAGTAAAAGCAGATGGACAAAGATAGGGGAAAAATAGGTTAGATCATCCCCACCTGTGGTCAAAATCTTGACAGAATATTGACAACAAGGCATAGATGTACACACTGGGAAGAATATTAACAAGTACTGGGGTTATAATAAAGAGTTGTGCAGGTGTCAAAACAGGGTGGCCTAACTCCTTCTCATATTATAAAGGTATAGAAATACAAGGAGATAGATATGTAGAACTATTTAGAGGCGTGAAAGAATCCAGCACCATGAGAAGTAGACAAACCATGGTGCTGATTTCACCGTGTGTTTGAGGAGTGTGGTAGAAACATTAATGAAGTGAAAATAGACATTAAAAGGGACATTTGCATAGAGACTCTAAAACAAAAGATGTGTGGTTGAGAAGTTTTAGGCCACTGTGGCAATGCTGTGTTTCTCACTATTCAAGTAGATTTCATGGGTTTATTTAAGACCTA
Source organism: Homo sapiens (assembly GCF_000001405.40). Lineage (NCBI taxonomy): Eukaryota > Metazoa > Chordata > Mammalia > Primates > Hominidae > Homo > Homo sapiens. Next base: position 84,273,575 of record NC_000005.10, on the reverse strand, counting down.
AGTAACACTTATTTTATGTGTGAGGCATTTTAAAAACATTTTTATGAATATTAACTTCTTTAATGCCTACCACCACCTTATCAGGCAGACGCTGTTATTATCCTCACTTTTTACACGTGGGAGCAAAACATGAAGAGATTAAGGGACTTAAGTATGTGGGAAAGCTAGGTGTGAACCCAGGAGTCTGACAGGGTTCATTATGAGCAGATTCATGTTGCTCTGCCTAAGGAGAGCAGAACAATTGTTCTAAAGGAAATCCCTTTCTCTTTGGCAGAGTGATTGATTCAGGAACTCAGGCTTGGGACCATTAGCGCCCTAAAGATAGGAATTGGGTCAGGAATCTGGCATTGTACATTGAGGGCCGAAATGTAGTGAGGGAAAAATTTCCAATTCTTTTGGAAAAGAAATTTCCTTGCTCTTACTAAAGGATGCTTATTACTCCCTGACTTCTTCTGGATATCATGGGGTTTGGATGTGAATCTGTAATTACTGCTTTTGTCTTTTTAGCCTTGTATGAAAAATGCCTCTGATCCTAACTAGATACTGGAGACAAGCAAAGCCGAGAAAACTGTAGAGAAACAGAGGTTGAGACACTGGCCACTCCCAAGTCAATACATTTCTAAAATAACACAACAATGTTGACACAATGTGGTAACCATACATTCCATTTTCTTTAGGAAATATTAATCAAGACATCCATCGTGGCAGCTTCCAGGAAAAAAAAAATAATTCATACTTCCATCTTATATTTGCAAAGATAATTAGGATTTTTATAGTGCTGTTTAAAAAATGTGTTCAGATAACAATTACAACTTCTCTCCAGCTGTCTAAATTCAGATTCTTTTGGGTTTCAAAGCAACTGGCACCCTAGCATAGAATATCAGATAGCTCGGTAAGCCTGGTGTTGAATTATACCATTTATGAGTTGCATTTATTAGGCAAAATTCTAAGCCTCTTAAACTACTTTCTCACTTGTGAAATGCTGATATTAAGGCCAACCTCATGTTTATTTTGTGTATTAAATGAATTATATATGTGCATATATATACCTACACATACATATGTGTAGTTACTAGATATGCTTCCTGGTACATAGGAAATATTCAATAAATTGCTTATTAATATCAACAAATCTTTGATAAATAAGTTAAAACCTCCTTAGACTTGAAAAAGGACTTTAGCGTATATTTTTATCTTTATGACAATTACGTGGAGGTTGGTGAGGTATTTATAATTATAATATATAATTATTTTTATCTTGTACATTAGGACAATGAAGTTAAAGAAATTATTTGGATTTGGAAAATTTGCCTAGGTAGTAACTAGAAGATTTTAAAATTTCAATTGATCTCATCAGTTTCTGGATTTTTAAGCCCTTATAGAAAAACACTATGTTTAGATTCAAAAATATAAATAATTATATTTCCTTCTTCACATTAACAAATAAAGAAGTTACAAGAAAGCCGATGAAGGCTAACCTAAGTGTGAGCGTTGTTATTGCATATGCTTGCATTCCTCTTGAGCTTTAACTCCACATTTTTAATCATTACATTGTCAGTAGTTCCAGATTTTCTTCCTGTAAAAGAACAAAACAAAACTTTTTAAAATTAAGCTAAGAAGAAGAAAAGCTCCGAGAAAATCTTCTGAGAAAAAAGCAGTAACTAAGTATCCAAAATGGAATCATTCCACAGTTGAGGATGTGGTCTGTAATTCCTTTGACTGCTATCAATTTATGCCATCCTGCCTGAGGAGTTTCTATATTGACCCTGGAAATGCTTTTAGATTTTATCACACCAATAAAGTTACTAAAATTGAATTTTATTCCTAATGGTATTGGATTGTAGCTGATTTAGTAATTAAGTAATTACTTGAAAAAGCATGAAACATAATTTCATTAATCAAAGTGAAAAACTTGATAAGGGGTTTTAAGTGAACATAAAATAGATTTTCTTTTCCAGAGGTAAGTAAATTTCAGTAGCTTACAAGCTTACAACATATCAGTGACTGGGGGCTTCATGGGGACAACCCAAGGCACATAAATCATTTATAAGGGATCCTGTGAACATCAGCATTAATTTTCCTTCTGCAATAGACTAAGTCTCTCCTTTATTTTATATTTATTTATTTATTTATTTATTTATTTATTTATTTATTTATTTGTAGAGACAGAGTCTCGCTCTGTCGCCCAGGCTGGAGTGCAGTGGCGCAATCTCGGCTCACTGCAAACTCTGCCTCCCGGGTTCACACCATTCTCCTGCCTCAGTCTCCCGAGTAGCTGGGACTACAGGCGCCCACCACCAAGCCCGGCTAATTTTTTGTATTTTTAGTGGAGACGGGGTTTCCCCGTGTTAGCCAGGTCTCTCCTTTATTTTAAGTGATAGTTAAACGGGCATTCTAATTTCACATCTAATTTCATATTACAATACTTATTAATAATGTGGTATTTTCAAATAGGGTCAATTAGGTCTATTTCTCTTCTTTTAGAAAGTCTCAGAAAAGATGAATTTTAAAATATTTAGATAAAATTTAAAGAATAAATTGGGTAGACCAGGACTGTGTCACAAATTCGTGGTATAACTCATACGAATTAACCCTGCACTTTGAATCCAGTAGGAGCACAATAAATGTTCTTTGAGTGAATGAAGGGATTGATGAATGACTAGGGATTTTTTTTCAGGTTTGGCTGTATAAGTAATCTAGACCGTTATTTATGTTTCTATGATATTTTCATGTCTGCCTTCTCCACGGATATCACTTCACTCTTTCTGTCAGGCTCTAGGTCGGAGAATAAGAAATTAAAGTTGTAAGTTACTTTTTATTAACTTTTTTTATTACAAAATGGTGACAATAGTAGCATTCATGGCCTATGATGATTGTGAAGTTCATGAGAGATAATATCTTATAAAGTGCTTAGAACTTAGAACGGTGCTTGCCACATGATTCGTTCTTAGTGGTTAGTATGTTGTTGGTGTTCGTTAAAGCAAATACAAATTTCACCCTCTCAGTATACATATTAATGAAAATAAGAATTGTTCTAGAATTAATTTATGCATTAGTTTTGTCAAAGAGGTGTTATAAGTTGACAAACCCCATGGTAAGGTAAGCAAATAATATCAATAAATTTACTGACAGATGTGTATATATCCTTAGGCTTATGAGTTAAACAGCTATGATAAACCTAAATATTTCACATCTGCAATGTATGTCTGATGAGAATGTGCTGGGCTCCTGAAGATCCCACGTTTAGTATTCGCTACATTAAGGAAACATTTAACATTCATGGCCCATCATGATACTCACTAACCTTTGTTTATTTCCATTCAACCTTAGTAGTTATCATTTCTGCTTCTACTTTGCTGCTAATTGGGTTTTTATAGGTTGTGAGTTTTTAAATTAAATTTTTTCTTATTATAAAAAATCAGTGCATATAATTGTAGAAAACATTACAAAATAAAGATAAACACAATGAAGAATATTTAAATACCCTTGTGATCTCACTATCTAGAGATAACTAACGTTGATATTTTTGCACATATCCTTCTAGATTTTTCTCTCGCTTACTCCAACTTTAGAGAGAGATCATAGAGCATACACTGCTTTTTCATTTAACAAAGGACTTGACAAGATCCAACAGCATTTGTTTAGTGACCCCATCTTTACAAATTCTCATCATTTGCTGTATAAAGAGTTATCCCAAACTTAAAGTGAAGAACGTTGGGGAGATTAGAGAAGATGGCAGGCCAGGTAGTTTGGAAACTCTTTAGTGTCTACTGATATGCCTCTTGAGCTTCCTAACCCTAGGTCTGGGAAAATTGCCAACAGTTGCATTAACTTTGGGGATAATGTCCAGAATAAAGCTCTAAGAGCCCCCAGATTTCTGTATCTTTTGGATTAGTTATGCAATAAAGTAGATCTGACTTTATTGTTTATTCCTAGATCATAAGAACTCAGAGTTCATCTTGTTAGAGCCAACCTTGCAAAATTACTATTGTGGAGAAACAGAAATCATATGAACATATTGCTTACACTAATATAAATTAATTTGGAGACAGTCCCAGCTGCAATGCCACCAACCATAACTAAAAGTGATATACTATTAGTAGTATTCTTTATTGAGATAATATTTCTGAAAGGATACTAGACAGAATAAAAATTTTGAATGATATGTCTATGTCTAAGGTTATATTTCCTGTACAAGTAAAAGTTCACAGAGATATTTGTACAAGGGTGATTGATTCATAAATACTTTGTAAAAGGAAAAAATTAAAGCCTCCTAAATGTCCAATAGTATAGAACTACATATAAATTTTGACATATTCATATTTTTGAATACCATATATTTGCTGAAAAAAGTGAAATGGCTTTGTGCTGACAATCTCTGAGACATATTGCAAAGCAAAAATTACTTGAAATGGAACAATGTGCCATTTCTGTCCATTCGTGTGAAAGAAACATAAAAGAGATCATATATAAATTTTCAGAAAGGATACATAAAATGAGCTAACAGTGGCTACATATATGATGAGGGAACAAAAAGAAGAGGGTGTTTAAAGTTCATGTAATAACTTTTTAAACTTTTTCAGGAAGATATGTCTTTATTTTTTATTAAAATGAAAATAATTGATTAGAATGAATAGAGCTAAACGGACAAAGATTTGTGGACTATAATTCAAATTAGTGATGGGATATGGGATGATAGAGAATTTGTGCTTTGTGCTTTCCCTATTACTGCATTATCTGAACTGTTTACAGTGAGCTTACACTATTTTTAGAATTAGAAAGATGTATTGAATTTTATAATGGAACAGTACGAAGTGGTGATTGATAATATATGCCCCTGAATTATACTGCCATGGTTAAAATCTTGTGAATATAGGTGATTTTCTTATTTTTTCTAACAATAAAAGTGCGTGAATCATCAAAGATGCTAAGTGAAACAGAGGTGTTATTTTTATCTAAAAACCTAAGGGAAAATCTTTATGTACAGAGCAGCTTCTTGTGCAACATTAATGAATTAAAAACTAATATCAATGTCAAATAAAGGTTAGCTGAAGGAAGTAGTTCATATCATTAGAAATATATTGATATCTATGTCTGAAATCCTTGCTGTGTCATTTTAAATATGTATGCTTTAAATTTTCAGTGATTAACCATTTTACTCTCGTGTAAATGGTTATAATCTTATTTTTCTAAGCATAACATGGATTCAGAAAGGACTGGTGTTTGCAGAAAGAATGCATAGTTGACTTTGTTGCTTAAAGTATCATTCACAACAGGAAAAAAAGCTCTTAAGCCATGTAGTCCAGAAGTTGCTCATTATTCTGCTAACAGCTCTATTTTATGTACACCTGCCATGAGATAGGATCATTATCAAAGGACAGTTAACTCTTTTTGGCCAAATTATTATTGTTATTTATTTATTTATTTATTTATTTATTGGAGACGAGATCTCACTCTGTCACCCAGCTTGGAGTGCAGTGGCGCGATCTTGGCTCACTGCAACCTCTGCCTCCCGGGTTCAAGCAATTCTCCTGCCTCAGCCTCCCGAGTAGCTGGGACTACAGGCACACGCAGCCATGCCCAGCTAACTTTTTGTATTTTAGTAGACATGGGGTTTCAACATGTTGCCCAGGCTGGCCTCGAACTCCTGAGCTCAGGTAGTCTGCCTGCTTCGGCCTCCCAAAGTGTTAGGATTACAGGCATGAGCCACAGAGCCTGGCCTTTGGCCAAATTATTACTGAGATGTGCAACCTCAGGCTTCCAAAGGCTCCATTACTGTCATTTTGTCATTTCATATATTTTATCATTTTCATGTGATTGTTTATTGTCATCATTGTCTTTTTTTTGGTAAGAGAGCATATACATAAATACATTCAAATGTATGTATGAAATCCCTTGTTCAGATACATATTGAACCTGCTTTGAAACAACTACTGTCCAAGACTTGTCACTCTCAACTCAAATGATGATTCATATGCTGTGGCCATTCAAAAAATTTTCCAAGGAAGATTGGAAGCCATAGATGGGTTCCTTTTGTAATACTCAAATAAAACTCAGTATGGAACCAATATATCTTTCTAGCATCTTTTTGAAAGCTGGTCTATTCTGGTATCTGCGCTACTATCATGTGTCTGCCATTACTTTCTAGAAACACTAAGCATTACCCACCTTAGGAGGATAAATTATCATACTAAGGGGCATAGCCATGTTAATAACTGCAAACTGAAACCCAGAATTATTCCTATTTTCACAAAAGGAAGATCACATATGCAAGTGATGAGAAGATTAATGCAAGAGGCCAAAGCTTTCCAAAAGATAAGAAGGGTGGGCAATACACAACAATATTAAATAATTGGCCACAGGGTAGAGAATGAAGAGACCTTGAAGAAGGTGAAGAACTTGAAGAGGTGAAGGGAGAAAGTGAAGACTAAAGGCAAGGGAAACCATTCCAACACACAGATTTCATTTCTGAAGCCATGTTGTTTGTATGTGAATACTACTTTACCATTTACTGTTCTGTGTCTTTGGATAAATTATACCAATTCATAAAATTTATTTTTTCCATAAGTAAAATGAGGTTTATCACATCAGAGAATTTTCCCACAGGGATATTATGAAGCTTAAATGTGATAATACCCATAAAACACTTAGTATAATTTTTGGTACATAGTGAAGGCACAAAAATAACTACTGTTACTATAAAATGATAAAATATACTAACAAATAGGCTACTAAATGGAATAGAAGAATCCAAGGGTATATGAAATTTGGGGATTTGTGCAAGCAGGTAATTTGTGCCAGAAAAATTTGTCAGGAACAGTTTGTGTGATTTTAGGCCTAAGGCTAGTTATAAGTAATAGGAATGTAGAGAGAGGAAGGTGGAAAAGAGGATTTATATACAAGTGGTTCAAGATCTTTTTTATCCTCCCAAACTCTGAGAGCATCAGAGGTATCCCCATTAGTTCCTTGCCAAGGCAGTCATGTCAAAACAGAGCTACATGGGACCTGGGATAGGAGTTCCCCAAGGTTTTATATAACTTGAAGCCCTGTACCCAAGATGATACTAAACTGCACGCATACCACCCCGTGAGAGTCTCTGACAAAACTGTGTAGAGAATTCAACCAATGAGAAAAGAGATAGACAGATAAGGTCAAAGCCTCTTCAATAGCAGAGATAAACCAGTGCTGGTTTCTGAGCTTTGGGTTAGAGCTGCATAAAGCCCTCCTCTTTCATGTTGGGGCTGGCTCAGGGTTTGGAAAGGATCTGATGGGACCAAATCATCACAAAAATGAGGACAGGAGGGATACAGAGACTGAATACCACTAAGTGGTCATGTTGTGTGACCCAATGCAGTGAGGCTATTGATAGAATAGAGGCAATGGGTTTTTGAATGTATTCAAGTTCTTAAAGAGTTGTCCCTTTCTGTGCTTAATGTCTTCTTTTCAGCAAGTCACATTTTATTTGGTAGCCCAGAGAGGTAACAAAACCCCACTTCCTAAATATTTATGTGGTTTACTTAGTGTAAAAGCATGTATTCTAAATGGAATTCCATTAAGGCAACTGTAACTCCTGAAGAAAGGGCACTTTGAGTTTCTCCTTACAATTAGGTTGTTCCCTATAAAGATGCAAATTGGAGTGTTAACAGCAATAACCTGACACCTGTTGGAAACCAAGAAAGTGGCAAAACACCCATAATTTCTGACTTCCACTGAGTTAATTGCTCAGTTGTCTTTCCTTGTCAAGAACTCCCATACATTAAGGAAACGCATTGGCCATATAGCCATTAAATCTGAATAACAGATTCCATGTTTGTTAAAGAATTCAAGAGCTCATTTGTTCTCATGTTTATCAGTAAGCTTGTCTACAGAGGGGTGCCTTATCAAAGTGATTTGTGTTTTTGCTCCCTAAGACTGTTGTGGCTGTGAATAAAAAGACTTACTTCATAGAACTTTAGAGATTCTTTGGAATTAGAACATATATCAACTCTTTTATAAAACGTTGTCTTCATGTGAAAACGTTGTAAAAGGTGTGTATGAAATCATTCACTTTTTACAAAATTTCGTCAAGATCTAAACCTGACTTTTAAAATATGATTTCTTTTCCAAAGTTAACTAGCTGTCTATTGACTATTTTCAGTTGAAAGAGTACCACTTTTAATTTTTGTGATGTCTCTGTATTTGCCAACCACTAAATAGATAAGCATATACAGTCAAGTTTGGCAACATAGTTTATAATGTTATGCAATGAGGTGACTTAAAACATCCTGGCAGTAAATAGTTGGGGCTGCAGTATAAGGTATAAATTCTCAACAGTAAAAGATACCCGTTTGGCTTTTACATGCTGTAACTTGAAACTAAGACATTCTACTGCTGTCTTAAATTATGACTTTTTAAACAAGATATAATTAAAGCATGAAATTAGGCTTTGCAATTTTTTTTCTGTAATTTTAACATTACATACCTTTCTGCCTGAAAAATTGATATAACAGTTTTATCTAGTGATTAGCAAAATGTTCTGTTCTTCTTTTAGGTGACTTTGCTTAATAAGTGATCAAGTTAACCAACTTGTGTTTGACTTGTTTTCCTTGGAGGTTATTTTTATATGTGACTGACCAGATTTACGCTTAGAAAAAGTAAGAATTCACAATCTAAGATCTAAATAAGAAGATTCTGTGAAACTTCTACAGCTGGACGTGGCACTGAATTTCATCTTTTTTGTAGCACTTGATTGTTTTTATAAAGTCAGTATGAGTTTGTGTTCTTGACAGAGATTGATGGACTAACTGTTGCCATCATGATGTGCTGCATTATTTATATACAGCAGCTAAATTCAATATTTTAGTTTGTCCTCTGCTGTCAACTGAAGAGCTGCAATCTTCTCTGAAAGAACAATTTTCTGGGTTTGTAATTGTTGCATAATTACAAAAATATATTATCTAAAAGCGTAAAGTTCAGTAAGCTATATTGTGTATTTTTCAACAAACATAAAGTGGTCAGGTGTCACTCCTTTGCTGTCGACCCTCATCACACCTATCTGGTAAAACCACAAGCCTGGATCCATCATCTGCTGCGTGCCTGCACTACCTCAGCTGTTGAGCTCTGACCAGATACACAGTGGGGTACATGTTGACATTTTAAGTTCTTGTGTGGGCCCTCAGTACTTTCCCTCCATCATTTTTCTATGTTTTCCCAGGCAACAACCTTCTATTTACTGCATGCGCATGTTACCTTCTATCCTTCTCAAACTTCTGGTCCTATCACATTCGCAGCAGCCTACTACACAGAAAACTTCAAATGGGAACTCCTTCAATTTATTTGTTTGTTTGTTTGGAGACATAGTCTGGCTCTGCCGCCCAGGCTGGAGTGCAGATGCACAGTCTCGGCTCGCTGCAACCTCCACCTCTTTGGTTCAAGGGATTCTCATGCCTCAGCCTCCCGAGTAGCTGGGACTACAGATGCACACCACCATGCCCAGCTAATTTTTGCATTTTTAGTATACCTCTAACTCAACAGGGTTTCACCATGTTGGCAAGGCTGATCTCAAACCCCTGGTCTCAATCTGCCTGCCTCAGCTTCCCAAAGTGCTAGGATTACAGGCATGAGCCATCATTCCTGGCCAGAACTCCTTCAGTTTGTGTCATCCAGGCTCAAACTTCCTGGTACATCTTCCTCCTTGAGTCAAAGCTGAATCCTTCCATATGTACTCCGAGGCTCATTCATCGTATTTGTACACATGCTCTCACCCTTCTGATTATTCCTTCTCCACTGTTTTCTTTAACCACTTCTTTCTAGTAGTTGCTTCTATCAGCACCTACATCATCAGGTTTCTGATGTTTTAAATATATTTCCAAAATGTGTCCCACTAGATTTCTATAGGTATTTGACTAACATTTATTGAGCACTTTCTATGGCAGGAACTTCACTAAACTTGTAACCTGCATTCTAACATTTAACCTTTACCATTACCATTTTTCAAAAAAGCAAACAATGATTTAGAAACACAGAATAATTAGAGAGTAGCAGAGTAGGATGCCAACTCTGCCCCGTGCGATTTTCTTAAATCACGGTGGTATATCCCGCATAACACACTGCCATGCTTTCATCTAACTCCTGAAAGAATTGCATCATTACTTCTAATACACCTACCCCTTTGATTCTTTAACCTACTTCAGGCTGGCACTGATGCCTACCACTCCTGTGGATGTGCCTTCATCTAGGTCATCAAGGAACATCACCTTTTCTAAAGCAAGACAGTACTTCTTGGCCCTTAGCTAAACTGAGCCCTCAGAACTGTGCAACACTGGTGCTCACTCTGGTCTCTAATGGAAGGTCACTTGCTCTCAGAAGGCTTCTTGACTCACAGTTCTGGGTTTGGTGGCCCTCTCTCATGCTTTCTTGGACCTAACAAGCAGTGGTAACTATTTATCAACTTATTTGTGTCTTTTTGTGAGAGTCTTTGAGAATAGGAATTTGTCCATCATGGGCCCTATAATATGTGCAGTAATTATGACTTAGTGGCATATAGATGGGCTTCAGTAAATATTAACTAATGATTGGATGGATATTCTTCATAGGTAGAAATAATATAGTCAAAAATGCTTGGGGCCAGGGGCGCGGTGGCTCATGCCTATAATCCTAGCACTTTGGGAGGCTGAGGCAGGCAGATTGTCTGAGCTCAGGAATTCAAGACCAGTCTGTACAACACAGTGAAACCCCATATCTACTAAACTACAAAAAATTAGCTGAGCATAAAGGCACATGCCTGTAATCCCAGCTAGTCAGGAGGCTGAGGCATGAGAATTGCCTGACCTGGGAGGCGGAGGTTGCAGTGAGCCAAGATCATACTACTGCACTCTAGCTTGGGTGACAGAGTGAGACTTCATCTCAAAAAAAAAAAAAAAAAAAAAAAAAAAAAACCAACCAACCTTGGGAATTGTAGTTTATGGTTGAATTTCCTGGTTATTTACAAAATTTTCGCTACTTATTTTGTAAGGATTACATGTTTGTAGGGAATGTATGTTAATATTAAATAGTAGCTATTCTATTTTCCCTAACATAGTGAGTGCCCTTATTTATGATTTGCTGATTGTAGCTTCCTGCAAATGATTTTTTTCTTAACTCAGTGAATTAACAAAGAAAGCTAGTCACATAAATACCTTCCTCATTTGCCTTTCTCCCAATTAAAGGCAAGAAAATACAAACTAACTTCCAAACTTCCTCTTTCCCTCCTTCCTTTTCTTCCTTGGTTTTTCCTATTCCTTTCTCCTTCTTCTTGAATAAATTGAGATATTTGGATTAGCTTTAAGAAACTGTGGAGGGCTGGGAACCATCCCCAGAGATTCTGATTTAACTGGACTGGGCATGAGATATTTGAAAAGCCTCCCCCGGCCCTGTGATTTTAATATGCAGTAAAGTCTGAGAACCACTGGATTAGTTCATTTCGAATGTCCTTTTCAATTCTAGAAACTGTAGGTTCTTTTAAGGGACTTTCCAGAGTGTTTTAAACTAAAACATATGCAAAAAGATTTTGTTTTTCAAAATGTTAGAGCCCAAAACATTTTTGTCTTTTTATCCAGTAGACCTTGATTGAAGCCTTATGTCATCAGCTGTGAAATTCAAATAGTCAACACTGAACAGCAGATTTTCTCCTTATTTTCTTCAGCCCAATATACCCTTAGCATTTGAAAACCTAGCTAAAAAGAAAAATGTCTTAAAAATAGTGAGGCAAACCACTGGATAACATCTAAGAGATGTCCTGCTTTAAATTAGCATTAATGTGGTTTTGAGTGAGTCTAAGTCTAAGAGGTTTCTTTGTTCATTTATTTGATTTTTGTCTTCTGTGGTTATTTTTGGATTCTGTGGACACTGAGGTGGAGAAATGGATGGTCTTTTATTGCAAGGATGTCTAATGATTTACCAGTAAAATAGCAGATTCTATCAATGAAGATATAATTATTCCTATTGACATTTGTATCTTATTTCCTTCTGTATACTTCCAAATTGCAAGGTGGTCTGCAATAATAACTAGAATTTACTTTTAAAGTACATATGAAGGTAAGAATCAGATTGCACCTTCTTAACAAATTTATTTGAAATTTAAATTGGCCACACTCATAAGCTTTAATTGTGAGAAAAAGCTTTAAATCAAAACCTATGCATCAAACTCATTAGAATGTTCAACAAGTGAAATATCAATATTCAACACAAATGGTCTCTAAAGAGGCACAAAAGCAAATTGTGAGGCTATTGTTGATTTTTAAAAATGACATTTATTTTGTTCCACACAATTTCACAGGTAGTAAGTCATAAGGGTGCTAACATTTTCTGTGAGTTTTACCAATTTGAGTATGCAAATTCTCATGAACTTTATCTAATTTTAACTAGAATTATTACTCACTTGTGTACTAGAGTTGGCTCATTTTGTCAAATATTCTGTCTATAGATTGGTTCAAAACTCTCGCTTCTACAATAGAAGGCAAAACCTTTATTTTCTTTCAGTTTTTAAGTGAAATGATAGTACAGTTCAACAAGAAAGCAATAGATTGAAGATGAGGTTGTAATGCACAGAGCTGCATTGTCACAGATGCAAAACATGAATTTAAATTGTCTCTGCATTTTACTTTTCCATATGTAAGTATGTATTGCAATGTTCTTCACATTTAGTTTGTTGAGATATTGAAGAAATTTAATAATGTCTTGTGTTAGTGAGGTAACATTCTGTGGTGATATATTACTACTTTTTTGCTTTTACTTCTATATCTGTATACAAATTTCTTTACAGAAATGGAGAGAGGGCAGGGATGATGGTGCAGACATATTCTAGGTGGCTGCCAGCACTTTGAAAAGAGCAGAGAAAATGGAGAAGCATGCATTCATCTAAATAAATTATTAGGATATTTATATAACTGTCAATACATAAATACATTAACAGTACTATGTAAATACATTAATATGTAAGAAAGAGTTCAACATGTAAATTCATAAGTACATTAGCCTGTAAATATTAATACAATAGTATATGTTCAGTAGATGTTTACTGCATATAAAGAGTAAGCTTAGTAGAATTGCCCTTGATTACCAGGAACACAGAGGATCAAATGTTGGGCTTTAAATTATCAATCAGTTTCTATTAAAAATGTGTTGCTGGCAATAAACACTTATTGAGAGTTTTTCCCCTGTCTTCCTTTCTGTTCCTGAAATCATCTCTGTCTTACCTATCATGAGGGCTGACCACTTCCTGTTCCCTGTGCCTAGAATGCTCTTCGTTAGGCTTTAACACCACTGATTCTAGTTCATTCTTCAGTTTGCAGCTCTTGTGAAGGCCTTGCTTCACTGTCTGTCATAAATAACCAGTTTTATTTGCTGTTTTTCTCATCAGCCTGTTTCTCCCTCCTCTCATGGCTTTTATTACAGTGAGTGCTACCTTATTTATTTGTGGCATATGAATATGTGATTAATGATTCAGTAATTCTCTGATATGTGTACTGGAGACAAACACTAACATATAAAGAAACCTGAACACAAACTATCCAAGAGTTTAATTATCAGTGAACAAAATCAGCTGTCCTTTCTACCTGATTCTCAGTAGTACCAACATAGAATTTTCTTCTTTGTATGGCATGAGAAGTTGTATAATTATATACTAAGCTCACAGAAAATGCACAACCACAATCATAAAGGTACCTATTTTAGGCTTTTCGGTTTTTTTTAACCATTGTCTTCTGCAATACCAAGTAGTATTTTATAGGTGCTCACACACTTTGCTGTTGAGGTTAAAAGGTCATGGATTGCAAATGGGTAATGAAGTAAAATAAGATAGTGCCTAAATCACCTTGAACATGAGGTGACTGGCAACAAGTAGGAGGTCAGTGAGAAGAATGAAGACAATGTTGATTTCATGCAGAATCATGCAGTCCGATCAGAACTCTGGAGAGTGGGTGGAAAGAGCAGGCAAACAGTAAGTTAAATTTAGCCTGCAATGATTTCTTGCCCCTGGGAAAAATAATTGCTTTATTCTGTTGCCAAAAAGCAAATCGGCATGAGCTTAATTTGCCTGAATCTGCCATAAACTGCAGATGGAACCATAAAACATGGTTAGAATCAAATTAAACACATCTGTCCTAATCTAAGCAGGTGAGGCCAGCCGGCCAAGAAACATCAAAGTATAATGCTACACACATTACAATATGCAGAAGTATATTTTAGGAGCCTGCTGACAGTAGGATAAATAACCATGAAATCTTATATTGCCCTGTTTTCCTTTCCTTAGCCTAACCTCTTCTACTGGTTGTCATTGCAGTTTTAAAAGACTTTACCAGACCAGGTGTGGTGGCTCACGCCTGTAATCTCAGTACTTTGGGAGGGCAAGGCAGGCAGATCATGAGGTCAGGAGATCGAGACCATCCTGGCTAACATGGTGAAACCCTGTCTCTACTAAAAATACAGAAAATTAGCTGGGCATGGTGGCGGGCGACTGTAGTCCCAGCCACTCTGGAGGCTGAGACAGGAGAATAGCGTGAACCTGGGAGACAGAGCTGGCAGTGAGCTGAGATCGCGCCACTGCACAGAGCGAGACTCTGTCTCAAAAAAAAAAAAAAAAAAAAAAGACTCTACGAACATATCCACTGGGAAACAAACAGAAAACAATTATTGATTTAAAGTCTAGGAACCTATTGCATTTTAGTCAGAATTTCTTACCTGAGGTGCTACTGCCTTGGATAAACTGACATTACAGAGGATCAGAAATCCCTACCGTGTATTTTAATTAGATGTGAAATTCTAGCCGAGAGAGTTTGTTTTCACTTAAGGTATCAACCCACATCTGTACTAACCACTGAGATTATGGCCGTATAAAGGAAATAGGCTGAGATATGATGGTTTTGACCTAAGTAACCGTATAACTCATTCAAATCAGGACAGTTTTGAGAGTGAGAGGGGTTTGTGGGTCCCCGTGGAGGTGCACGGCTCTAATCCTTCTTTAAGAAAGAATGTGCTGTCCAGCTACAAGTATGTAGTTAGCTGACAGCCTCCTGCAGAACTTTCAGGACCCTACTTGAGCCTTAGGCCCTCACTCTACCTGGATTGCCCTAGTGCCTGTCATTCCTGACCTAGGGGAATTCCTTCCAACAATAATCTTTGCTCTGGAGCTCCCTGTGTGATTGACTAAGACTTTCTCAAATCTGCATTATAGACTGAGGCTCTCCCTGGTCAATCCTGTCCCGACCATCCCCACCCTCATGTCTTTCATTTATTTTTATTGGTGTCATACCTATATCGCAAGTTGAAGCTTTTCCTGCTCATTTCTGCTTCCTCCTCATTTTGTCATTCGCAGACATTACTTCTCAATAAACTTGTTACGCTCTTAACTTCATCTTAGCATCTCCTTCTTGGAGAACCCATCTGATTAAAGCATGCTACTAATGATTATGTATAGAGAAACAGATTTTAAACAAAATCTATAATAACCCTAATTATGTTTGTTGTTTATCCTCTACTTTGTCCAAGATCAAAACTTTGGTTTCTATTGCCACTGTCCACCCAACACAGTTGCATGTGGGGCCCTTATTAATTTCAGAAAGACTTTGACATGGTAGACCACAGTTTAATAAACTGAACATTTATACCGGGCTACAATGGGCCAAGCATTAACTTCTTTCTTTTATGAAGAATCTTATATCTTTTCCTCACTTATTTGTTGGTATGCCTAAGGACCTCTCCTCTCTTCGTTTCTCTTTGCTCTCATCCCCTCCACTCCCTTCCCCTGCCCTCCCTTAATAGACTCAGTGAAATATAGTATTAACCTTCATACTTAACAAGTCATGTTTAAGCAGAGGCTCTTTAATTCTACATCTACTTATATAATAGCTTAATCGGACATTTTCATTTTAGATCTTCTACAGACTTTTCAAATACAATAATCCCTTTAAAACTGAATCTACTATATTTCCTTATAAAGGATGGCTACTCAATCATCCAGGCAGGAGCTCTGGAAATCAACCCAAATTTTTTGCTCTTCCTCAACCCCTGGATCAATTTGGTCAAAATATCATCTTGATTCTACCTTGTACATGTTTCTCAAATCTATTACCTGTTTTCTCCCTTTCAAAAGATAGTATGCTAATGATGGAAATAAGATGAAAATTTCGAGTGTATTAGAAATGTGTTTCCATAAGCAAAAAAGAAGAACAAAAATTACAAGGAGAAGAGAGAAAAACATGTCAGTTAAACAACAGTTGGCATCTCTAAGATATAATGAGACTTGAGCAGATAGTCCTGTCTCATTTTGACCACAGAAACATGATATGACTGGCCCACATGCCTGGTAGAAAATTGACTCGATTTAGCATTATCATCTAGAGAGGGCAGCAGAGGGGCCATGGAAGGTTTCTTAAGGCACCAGAAAGGATTCTTAAGGCACTCTCCATAATGATGGGATAATTGAAAGAACCTCCTTTGGCCCTGGGTATATCAGGACTGTAGGCCTACCTCAGTTACTATCTGATGCAAGAACTTGGTTATAGGACAGAGTGGGATCTGAAAGAAGGGTTCTTATTTTTAGGTAAATATGTAAATATGAGACTGTGTCCTTACACTGATTACTCCACATAGGTGGGTGGGTCTTGATTTGGGGGAACTTTTATTCTGGTTTCATTACCTAGTATTTATTAACTAGATTTGATATTAAATGATGCCTCTTTTGATTTCCCTGTCTGTAGCCACCTCTATGAAGGGTCAAGAGAATCTTCATCATTTTTTTTGAGACTACTTCAAACAATAAATGCATTTTCCTTTTTCCCTCGGCCCAACCTCCTCCATCTGATTCAACACATTGCTGCCTTAGTGATTCTTCCAAAGCACAAATGTGGTGATACACTTTCCCATATTTCAAGTTCTTTTATAATTTTCCAGTGCTTGAAGATAAACTCCAAAATTTTTGGCACAGCATACAAGACCTTGATTCATATGGCCTTCCTACCTTTTGGACCTCATCATTTTCTATTTCTAATACGTATTTATATTCTAGCTACAGTGGCCTACCTGAAGTTCCTGGAATGAGACATGACCTTTTTCCTTTAAGTGTGTTATTCCCTTTGCCTGGAATATTAAGCATACGCTCTCTCCTCTTCATCACCTGATAGCACTGAGTCTCCTTAAAAGTCTCCACTGGTCCCACAGTTTGGATCATGTATACCAGTTGCAGGTGTTACTACTGTGTAGTATAATTGTAATTGTTCCTGCATTTTTATCTCTCCCACTAAGCTCCATAGTCTGTTATTTAGTTTGGTATATACAGCACTTACCTCAGTGCCTGCCTACCATGCAATAGGTACTCAAGGACTAGAAGGACAGATAGACAAATTGATAGACAAATGGAAGGATAGCTAGCTAGCTATATGTGTGGATGGATAAATGGATAGATAGATAGATGATAGATAGATAGATAGATAGATAGATAGTTAGATGATAAGTATATAAATGATAGCAAGTCTACTGAAGTATCTTTATCAGTCATCAATCACCCCATTCAAAATGCTGCCAGGATTGTCTTCTTAATTTAGATCTGACCATGTCCAAACTTTAAAATACATGTTAAAAATGTTAGACACTCTCTCATTGATTCCTTATCTTAAAAATTACAATGGCACTTTTTAATCCTCCCTGATCTAACATATTTATACTTTCTTAGCCATTCCAGATTAAATACTCCATGGTCCAGCCACGCTAAATTCTTTGGTATTCCCCAAACATTAATTCATTCATTTTATGACTCTCTTTTCTAAGGTCTGCTCCAGCACTTAGGTACTGTTTTAATCTATCATCTTAGTGTGGCTAATGACTTGGTTTATATTTGACAGAAATCATAACCTGAATTTTCATTTTTCAAATATTTTTAAAGTGCTTCATCTGGAAAAGAGTTTAAATAATTCTCATGTGAAAAACCTTACAGAGAATAACATAACTAAGAAATACAAACTAGTAGGAAGTTGGTGCCCAGATGCTTTTTTATTTTGAAAAGTCCCTTACTCATTGAGTCCAGGAGGTGGCAGTTTCACCTACAAAGCTCCCTTTAAAACTGTATGGGTTTTTGTGCATCTGATTCAAATCCTGTGTGCAATAAAGCCACACCCATGATTCTGTCTGAAGCCTGCTTTTTACTCCAGACTTAATCAGTGCTACTTTGGGTGTGTCAGCCTTCTCAGGGACAATCCTTAAGGTCTCTAGAAGCCCTTTTATTTAGCTGAGAAGATCTTTCAGGCTCCACCTGAATTATTTGAAATGTTTTCACAGGGAGGTTTGTAGCCACATCCATGATTGATATTTATGTTGGGCCATGTCTTTCTGGCATTCGATAATTTACCACTTTGAGAGTTGGGAGTTTAGAAACAATTGTGTTTTCTAACACAAGTCCTGGTCCTTGTATACTACTTCCCTTTACTTTCAAATGGACTGGTTCTTTATTTAGCTCATCTCTTTATTGTAGCACCTTATCATATGCAGGCAGTAAGAGCCAACTGATGCTTTAACAGTCTGCCCGGAAATCTCCTTACTCATATGAAAAGTTCATCGCATACATGTTCTACCTCCCCAGTTACCTCAGATGACAGCTTTATCAATTGTTACACACTACATAAAATGGGTAGCCATTTTTCTAGCTTTTCATGGCCATGACTGCTTTTCCAGATACTATCTGCCACCCATTGCCACAGCCAAGGCCACGTATTGTGGGGTTTCTGTTATGTCATAAGTTATTTCTCTGTAGCAGTTTCTTTCTTATCCTTCCACATTTCTTTCACTCATCTCAAGCAAGCTAGCCTGAATTCATTCACATGACGATCTCAGCACTCCAAGAGAGGAAGTAGATGTCTTCAAGTGCTTTTCAAATCTCTGTTGTCTTCAAGTCTGTTAACGACCTACTGGCCAAAGCAAGTCACATGGACAAGCCCAGATTCTAGGGATCCAGAAATAAACTCCTGTCCTTTAAAGAGTTAAAGAGTAAACTGTGTGGATATAAAGAAGGTATTTATTAGAGTAATTAATGACACTAGTCTATTACAGATATTTAGGTTAATATTTATTAACCAATTAGACAACATTCTCTTTACATATTATGAAGGAACTCCAAACTGAACCAATAGCTTTCAGAGGCAGTGTTTGAATTATGCAGTTTAATTTTTGCCATGTTACATAGTATTTTTTTTTGAGTACATGGTTTGAAATGAGTCTTGCAGATCTTATGTGTGAATCTTAATATTACCCTGACTTTTGACTTTGCCAAGGGAACATCCATAGCAAAGTAAACTAGTATGTTTCAATGTCCAAGACAAAAAAAAAATGTCAATTTCGGTTTTTTTTTATGCCTTAGGTGATATTTGTGATCCCAATCCATGTGAAAATGGAGGTATCTGTTTGCCAGGATTGGCTGATGGTTCCTTTTCCTGTGAGTGTCCAGATGGCTTCACAGACCCCAACTGTTCTAGTGTTGTGGAGGTTGGTAAGTGCAAAATTTAAGTATTTCAGTAGTTATCTTTTTATTTCCATGAATAAATGGCAGTTTGGCTGTGGTGCATTATGGAGATTAGTTGTAAAATTGCTATATGTTGCTAATTAGTTTACTTTTGTGTAGGATTCTCAGTTGTATCATTTCCAGTTTATATTGAAATTATATTAATTGTGTTCTTTAAGTTTTAAAATATTTTTAGTAATTAACACTAAATTTAAAGACATTACAAATAATACATAAATATAACATTTCTTATATTTCTAATATTAATATAAATTTAACATTTTATTCTCAAATAAAATACATAACTCCAAAGTCAATTTATTCAAGTTAAATTATCACTGTAAATAAAACAGGATG
This sequence comes from Homo sapiens, assembly GCF_000001405.40. NCBI lineage: Eukaryota > Metazoa > Chordata > Mammalia > Primates > Hominidae > Homo > Homo sapiens. Next base: position 84,253,714 of record NC_000005.10, on the reverse strand, counting down.
TTTTTAGGGACTTCGAATATCCATCAGCATTTTGTAGCTGTTCTAATCATTACTTTTCTTAGGTGATAAATATATTTTATATTTCTAAGCATATAAAGAAGAGGATATTCCAGATGCAGTGCTCTTCAAAGTTTTCTAAAAAATTTGCTCTGCAAAAATTAATGTGTCATTGGTTACATTCAAATAGTTTTTTAAAAAATCTGCGAAATATGTATACTTATGGATTTAGAGTAACTTCTGTAATTTCCACATAGGTCCCCATTAAGGAAATAGCTGTACTTTAAAATAATTTAACACCATGTAAACTTGTGCAGAGATTTTCTCTCTAACTAAAGAGAGAAATAATTTTCAAAGTTAATAGCACAGGTAAGTTTGAAAAAAATTTATATTTTTCGCATTAGTACCACGAAGAGTACAAGATGGAATATATCTGTTCATTATAGGAAACCAAACATGTTTTGTCAACCTGCATAAACCTTAGAGAAACAGGACACTTCAATGGCTTTGGGGAAATAGTTTTGAAAAAGAAAAGTAATAGCGTCCAGGGATCAGTCTGAATTACCCATCATTGTACCCAGTGCACCTAACTTAATTACCTTATGCATAGTAAAAATCCAGTAACTATTGGTTGAATGAAAGAAAGAATAATTAAATAAAACCATTAATTTACCATCTTTGGCCATTAGTTACTGGATTGTAGTGTGCTTTATTTTTTTAATGAATTTTCCTTATTTTTTATATTGCATTATGAATATATGTTATCTAAAGAAGTTTATTATTGCTGAAAGGTACTTTGTTCATTTAATTCATCTTCAAAGATAATTCTCTTTTAATGCTTTTATTAACTCACTGATATTTTAGGAGGTTTGACACAGTGCCATCGAAATAAAACTGTTGTAACCACTTTGACCCAGGCTTCAAATATGTACATTTGAGTTTCAGAGTTTAATGTGAGAATCATATCCTCAGGAAAGTCTGTATATCTGAAGAAAATTAGAGTCATAAATACCCCTAGTAGAAATGTATGAATAGAGTAAAATTTTAGTGTTGTATTTTAAGCCCAACAACCCCAAATTGGCAGTGCCTTCGAGTTGTATAATAGTATATAATATTTTTGGCACTATTTGAAAGATCCAAATCTGGAATCAGAGAAACAAATGTAGGTAAATGATTAAGAAATCAGTATCTTAGCAGAATTTTTTTTTTTTTTTTTTTTTTTTTGAGACGGAGTCTCACTTTGTCGCACAGGCTGGGGTGCACTGGCACGATCTCAGCTCGCTGCAAGCTCCGCACCCCGGGTTCACACCGTTCTCCTGCCTCAGCCTCCGGAGAAGCTGGGACTACAGGCGCCTGCCGCCACGCCCGGCTAATTTCTTTTTGTATTTTTAGTACAGACGGGGTTTCACTGTGTTAGCCAGGATGATCTCGATTTCCTGAGCTCGTGATCCACCCACCTCGGCCTCCCAAAGTGTTGGGATTACAGGCGTGAGCGACCGCGCCCGGCCAGCCGAATTTTAAAGTAAATACTTGTATACTTTTGGGCTATACTTTTAAATATTAATCCAACATTCAACATTTTATCTGAAGACTGATACTATGGGCAGCAACACTTTAAAAACTAAGCACGCTGCCATATCCCACCTAGTTCAGTGTGACTTTGGGAAATTAAACGCTTATAGAATTAAATTCTACTCAGATTCATTATTACATATTAGTATACATCTCTGATATTCAGAAATTGGATAGTTATACTGTATTATTTTAAGCTATATTTTTTAATTATACATTTCATACAACCCTATTCTTCTCTGGGCTGTATTTAGGAGTTTTTGGAAGAAATGTATTTAGTTTGTATTTGTTTGATCATTTAGTATAGGATATTAGTTACACCAATTCTATTTTCATGTGCTGGTGTTCTAACATTAAAATACTAGGAAAAAACTTTCCTAAAGTCTTAAAGTGTTGACAGTTTCTTGAATACAACTTTCCTATATTATGACGTAATTTTTATAAAGGATCAGAAAATAATGAGAAATCAAGCACAGTTTTCAAGTTCAATACCTATTTATGACAGAAACATTACCCTATTGCCTTTCTACTGCTTTTTCTTAGCTTCATATTTTCTTGCATATGAAAGGTGTACTAAATATTGATTGCATAGTAATACTTGGTAGTAATGCCTTTAATATCTAGCTTACCTTGGGTCTTTTCATATTTTTAAAACTAATATTGGGATCAAATATTTCAAACATTAGATTACTAAAGACCATCCTGCGTTTTTGTTTCGAAAAAAAAAAAAAGGCCGGGCGTGGTGGCTCACGCTGGTCGGTAATCCCAGCACTTTGGAAGGCCGAGGTGGGCGGATCACGAAGTCAGGAGTTTGAGACCAGCCTGGCCAACATAGTGAAACCCTGTCTCTACCAAATATACAAAAATTAACCGGGCACAATAACAGGTTCCTGTAGTCCCAGCTACTAGGGAGGCTGAGGCAGGAGAATCACTTGAACCCAGGAGGCAGAGGTTGCAATGAGCTGAGATTGTGCCACTGCATTCCAGCCTAGGTGACAGAGAGAGACTCCATCTCAAATAAATAAATATATAAATAAAAATAAAAATAAATGGCTTGGCCAAGGCTTTTTTGTTATTGTTCTCCTGTTGTTATCTAGCACCAATGCAGGAAACAGAGTGTATTGGAATTTAAAAAACAAACAAACAAAAAACACATGTGGGTATTTTGAGGTAATATCTTAAAAGACAAAAAATATTTGAGCTGTCACTAGTCTGTATTTTTCCTTACATATTAGTTACCACAAAGATAGAGATGTGTCTAAGGTTTCTTCTATCCATTTCAGACCATATGAATTTTGAGCCATATATATTATGAAATTCTGAATCTTTATATTTTTAATTTCCAAAGGAAAGAAAATAATCTCATTTATATTTGCTTAGAAAAAGTTGTTTTTTGATCCCAGTTTTTAAAATTATGTTTATCCTGTTTATTCTACAGTCAGACACATACTCTTTTCATTGCAGTTCATCTGGAAAGGAGAATTTCAAATGCATGCTTAGAGAAAAACATTTCATGATTTTACCTCAAACCTTACTACTTTGCAGTAGCTTTGTTTCAGGTTGTTGATATTTATTTCAAGCGATCCTCATCCAGTTTTGTACTTTTATTCTTCCCTCACAAAGCATATAATGTCAGATAAGCACAAAACACTTAACACATTTGCAATCAATACTCACATCACTTGCATTCCTGTGTTACGTAGGATAGTTTGGCAGAATTGACTTTCTCAGATTTGTGAACTTCCTTCACTAGACAACATTGCTTTTCTCTGGACATTTTTTGATATTTCTGTATACTGCATTCTCATTCTCTCTCTCTCTCTGCCTCTCTGTATCCCCACACACAGCTATCACACACCTACACAACTCAATGTGCTCAGCCTCTTAGAGTTATTAAGATTCACTTCTGATATCTGAAAATGGCAGTAGGAAAACTTCTCTTCAAACAAAGCAAAGAAAAAGCCCTTGTTTTAAATTCTTGAATTCGAAGGCATTACCCAGATTAACCAGTGTTTGCACAGATGTGCACTGAATGCTGCCTCCCTCTCCAGAGGATTTGTGGACAGACCACCATGTGGCTAAGCCGCAAATTGCTTCCCAATTACTCACTCACATTCCTGGATGGCACTGTGTAATTGGGAGCTATATTATGACACATTCATTTCATGCAGAAATTTTCTATTATCTCTCTCTCTATATATATATAAATGTTCTATTATCTCTTTCCATATATATATATGGCCAGACTGGTCTCCAACTCCTGACCTCAGGTGATCCACCCACCTTGGCTCCCAAAGTGCTGGGATTACAGGCATGAGCCACCTCTCCCAGCCTATCAGTATATATTATACAGTTCATAAATGGAAATCTTGAGAATTTTTAAATTGTACAAGTTCTGTGGCATAACTATCCTATGTGTGTTATCAGAGTAATCCATTAAACTAGTAAAAAGTATAAACTTTTACAACTCAAATACATAGTATATTAACGTAATCAAAGGGAAAAAATAAGTGACTTTTTTTAAACAAATAAAATCTTAGTTTTCATTTATTTTCAAACAAATATTTATTGAGTGTTTACTAAGTAATAGTTACTTGAATGGTGGAGGGGCAATGATAAACAAGTTGCTGTTTAGATGATGAGACAAATAGATAGACAGACAGACATACATACAGACAGAAAGATGGAGATAGATAATAGATAGAAAAATAGATGATAGATAGATAGATAGATAGATAGATAGATAGATAGATAGATAGATAGATAGAAAGATATGTTGTTATGTGTTGTGATACAAGTACCTGGAGCCATAAAAATATAAAGCAGATGTCTTGCTTTAAGCTAAGTGTAAAGGAATGCATGCCAACCTGAAAAAGTAACATCTAGACATAAATCTAAAAAATAATTTCAATCTATTGCAGACTAAAAACTACAACAAACAACAAAACCTATTCCAGACAGAGAAAATAGTGTGTAGAATAACCAGGAGATTAAAAAAAAAGGTATAATGTCATAAACTGAAAGAAGTTAAATGTGGCTAAAACTTAGAGAGAAGGGACATGGTGGCCAGCACTGACTCTGAGGATGGTGACAAGTGGCAGATACTCTAGAGTTTGGTACAGTGTTTAAAAAAATTTCAACTTTTTACTAAGAAAAACAAGAGATTTTGTATTTCTGTTGGTGCAATATGGAAAACAAATTACAGCAAAATACAGCAGGGGGACAATTTGAAGGCAATTGCAGCAGATGAGGCTAGACATGATGATCTTGGCTTCTGTCAATGTGGTAACTAACGGGATGAAGAGGAGAGAGTCACTGAGTATTTAGATGATACCATAGACAATTATTGCTTATTTATGGGGTATGAAGAAAAAGAGTTTGGGAGAAACTAAGAGTAAAGAAAGGCATCCCCAGTTTCTGGCCTGAGCAACTGGGTATCATTTACTGAGATATTATAAATGACAATACACAGGATTGGGAGGCAGAAGGAGAGTTCAGTATTTCACATGTTGAATTTGACAAATTTGATAGACATTATCTAAGAAGTCAAGCATAGATGTAGAAGTCATAATTACATAGATGGTTATTGAAGCTTAGGGAATGGATGAGTCTGTCTAGAAACAGGATAATAGCAAAGAATAGAAGAGCTAGACATGGGAAAGAATAGAGGAATTAGAAATACAAAGCGGTAAGAGGCCATCAATATTTAAGTGATAGGCAGAGAAAGTGAAATCTGTAAAGGAGCCAGAGAGGCAGAGTAGTCAGGTAGAAGGAAAACCAGGAAAGTGTGGTGCACAGTAAGTTCAGGATTAACAATGTCTCAAGGAGTGGGTAATCAGCAGTGTCAAGTACTGTGGAGCAGTTAAGCAAGATAAGCATTTCCTTTGATTACATGTGATTGATGGATGATCTTGTTGGTTTACGGAAGATTAGTTTTGCTGGCGTTGTGGAGAAAGAGCTTGACTGTGGCACGTAGAAGAATTTGTAGAAAAAAATTAAATGGCTAAAACAAACATTTGTCTATTTATTTATTTGCTTACTCATTCATCTATCAAATATTTGAGTATCAGCTATGTGCCACTCTTCCTGGCACTGAGGATATAGCAGTTAAAAAATGGTCTTTGTCGTAAATATGTGTAAAATATTGTTAAAATGATCAGACAAAACAAAGAATATAAACATTGGAATTTGGTAGTAATATAAGATTCATTATCACTTGGAAAAAATTAAAAGTATGTGTATTATTGACAGTAGGTCAGTACAGGATAATAGTACTGTATATTATTTTATTTATAATTTCTTTTTATCTTCTCTGTAATTACATTGACATCTGGCCAGGCTTCTCATTTCCAAATATATATATGTATAGCATATCATGTAAAAAATACATATATATATTCAGGAAAAGTTATTTTATTCTGTTTTATCTTCTCTTATCCTCTTTTACCTATCATATTCCATAGAAACTTATTTCCCTTTGGTAATGATATCCCTTTTCTACCACAAATTCAGATTCTATTAAATGTGTTACCCTCCTATATTGTCACTAATAATCTGTTCCTCAGCTTTCATTTTATTATGAAAAATTGAATATATTTATCCCAGAAAATACAGACTGTCATACACATTTTTTAAAAAACTAGAAGTTGACTGTACATTTCACTCTATGAATAGCCATATTCATGTTTATCTTTCAGAAGGCAATCAGTGTCAGAATATCAAGTAGTATAATAGAGTCTGACGTTGTCCGAAAGACTTCTTGTTAGTGTTCATGAAATATCAGAAAGTTAACGAGCCTTAAGTAGCTCTCTTGGGTGGTGTAGGGTTATTTTAGATTTCGAGACTTTGGTTACCAAATGAGGGATTTGGTAAATTTCAGTTAAATTTTTCAGATAGTAGATGAAATTGTGAGTAGTTGTCGGGGTGGTTTATTTTCCCCTCTACTTAAGATTACTTCTTAGACTCATGATTGAATCCATTTTTCTAGAAGTTACCATAATGAGAGCTATGTTTCACGGACTAAAATACTTTCTCTAAAGCTGCTAGCCAATAGATGATTGCTAAGAAATTTTCCAGTCAACTAGGGTCAAAGGGATTTATTTTCACAGTTATGTTTACTTACTTTTCTAATAATAAGAAAGGGTAAATATAAGTTCATACAAACAAATATAATTGTGCAGTTAAGATGACAGATAATTAAGGGAAAGTTTTCGTACTAATTTTGCATATATTATGGAAAAGTAATTATATTTTATATGTGTAAAAATTCTGTAACATACCATATAAACTCATTAGCTTATTGATGTAAAAATATTTCTGCTTTATTAATAATGACAATGATTAGAATTTGTTAGTTTGCAATTCCAAGCTGTGACAATTATATGTTAACTTTCAGAAAGAAAAAAATGTATAACATCAAAGAACCTTAGATATTATTGAGTACCAAAAGCCACTCTAGCCCAGTCAAAGGGTAAAAGCCAGTTTGTGGTAAAGCTTTTATTTGTAAGAAAAGACAATGACCCATTAAGAAATTGATGTATGTCATTTAAACCACTGTCCTTTCTTCTAGGAGTATGTCCTTATTCATAGGGAATAACTGCTTTTGTATTTGAATGTATTTTACTGCCTAACAAATAATCACAGAGTTTAATGGATTTATTAAAAAATAATCATATTATCTCAGAAGTGTGTGAGACAGCTAAGTGGATATTCATCTCTGGAACATCTTTTACGTCTTTGTTGCACTCATATCTGCGTCTGCAGTCAGCTGGCGCTGGATAGAAGATGGTTAACTGATCTCTACTATTACGTAGTGGCAGTGGCAAAGGTGTCAAGAGTAGTAAGAAAGATCGAGTCCTAAAAGGCACTTTTCAAATCTCGGCTTGCCTCACAGTAGCTAACAACACTTTTGAGGGGAATATATGCAATTTCATTTTACAAATGTGCGGATGCAAGAAGGGGAGGAGTTTGTGGCTAGTTTTACAATCTGCTGTGGAATGTTGCTTCTCTTTTTAATTTTATTTTTGAAGAGTTTTATTGGCAAAGCAACAAGTTGATAAACACATAGGTATGTTTGCAGATATTTCTTTTTACGTTATACACAAATATATGGCCATGATTACACAAATCCTAATCACATTGGCTTTAGCAAAAGCTCTTCAATTATTTTTATAAGGAGTAAAAAGGTAAAATCTCTTAAGGAAAAACTTAGATTTTTTTTTTTTTTTTTTTACATTTTAGAAAAAATTATTGAAAAAATAGGAAGGTGAAAATTGAAGGTAATATCAAATTGCCCTTTTACTCCTAACCTGAAATCACTTGTGGCACAGCCAAAATATATAATTCTATACACTTATGAAAATGAAAATTACAAATTCAAAGTGATAGGCCACAGTGGCAAATTTAGCATTAATCTCTGGAAAGATTTTATCTTCCAGCTTTTCCCTTTCATGGAAAAGCAATCTATAGAAGACTCACAAATCACTTATATGATACTATGTAAAACATGCCAAAAATCTTTACAATCTTTCATTCTGTTACTTGATTTCATCTTCTTCATTGATTTTCAACATGAATCTATTTCTTTATTCTAGGAAATTATACCTATTGTTATTTCCTTTAGATTAAGTTATTTGCACCATAAACTATGGTATCCAAATAAAGCAAGTCATTTAAAAAACATTAACTTTTAAGCAGTTATGACAAGGTGTTGAAATGTTATCATCAGAGAAATTGAGATTTATAATGAAGAGGAAGCTTAATGGACTTATGCTCACTTATTCATAGTAATATAGATTTGGAGTTATTTGATTTGTATAATAGGAAAAGAAAAATACACATGAAGAGAAAAAGAAGAGATTGTTGTCCTATCAAATATATTTTTTAAATAATGTGATTATATCTCCTTTAATTTTCATTCAAACATTTGATTACTGTAGTAGGCCATAAAACATTTAAAAAAGGGTAAACTAGAACTAGGCGTATATAAAGAAGAGTGAAGAGTTTAGTTAATAAAAACTATAAAGAAAGGGACATTCTCTAAAATCAAGACCAATGAGAGAAGGAATAAGCATTTAATCAAAGAAAGCTTAAATCATGTTTTAGAGCATCTACAGCAGCAGTCCCCATCCTCTTTGGTACCAAGGACTGGGTTTCATGAAAGACAATTTTGCCACAGAAGGTGGGTTGGCATTAGATTCTCATAAGGAGCACGCAACCTACATCCCTTGCATATGCAGTTCACAATAGTTTGTGTTCTTATGAGAATTTAATGCTGCTGCTGATCTGACGGGAGGCGGAGCTCATGCAGTGATGCTCTTTCACCTACTGCCTGGTTCATAACAGGCCACGGACTGGTAGGACCCCAATCTAAAGTATGGAACAGGCTTAGGGTAAGTGGACAAAGAAAGCTTAGGGTAAGTGGACAAAGAAAGTAAAGGGCTAACGGATGAATGACACAGCCTTTGTTCTCATCTTTCCTCATACTACTAGTAACACAGAAGATAGAATGAAGACAAAGATATGACACTTTAAGAATTCATTGAAAATAAATGTTTTGGCCTGGAGCAGTGGCTCATGCCTGTAATCCCAGTACTTTGGGAGACCAAGGCGGGCAGTTCACTTGAGTTCAGGGGTTTAAGACCAGCCTGGCCAACATGGTAAAAGCTTTTCTCTACTAAAAATACAAAAAAAAAAAAAAAATAGCCAGGTGTGGTGGTGCACACCTGTAATCCCCGCTACTCAGGAGGCTGAAATGAGAATTGCTTGAACCTGGGAGGCAGAGGTTGCAGTGAGTTGAGATCATGCCACTGTACTCCAACCTGGCAAAAGAGAGAGACTGCTTCAAACTAACTAAATAAGTAAATAAATACATAAGTGTTTTGATAGGTTGGATTAATTTCTTGAAAATTTTACAGACTCCTGCTGTAACATCTAATACAAATCTTATTGGTATCTCCTATGTGCTAGAATCATGCTATTTGATATGAGGAATTACTACAATAAAGCATAAGGGTTACTGAGATGAAATAGAGGCATGGATTCTTTGTTAAAGAGCTTAAAGTAGATGTCATCGTTTCTGGAGTTTTGTTTGGCCACATTCCCCGGAGCCATAGAAAAACTAGGTTACATCTCAAGGTGACTTTGTACTGTAAGACAACTTATTGTTTAACATATATCAAAGTATTTATGTGAAGAAAATTCCATAATCCATATGCTTAAAGTACATGGGTAACAATTTTTAAATGAGTCATATAATGAGAGTAGAATTGGGCTGAATCATTTCCAGATTATATTTAATTTTGGCCTTTGAGAGTATAAAATTAACCAAGCTATGATTTAAAATAGACAACAATCAATATTTATTGTTATCTTCTTTTTATTTTAATCAAGGCCTGGAAAGAAAAATAGGGAGGGCAAAATTTCCATCTCTCAGCCAGAGATAGAACCCAGTAAAGATATTTGTTTTCTTACGTACTAATCCTTGGAAAATATAGCAAATTTCAAATAAGAATTAACACCTTTTTAATACAATGTGTTCATATAACCCCACAATGTCTTTATCTGCTAAGGTTTCATTGTGAAATCAAACCAGAAGTGCTTCATCCAAATCACAGGGAGCCACTGGACACAGAACTCATTATTGTTACTCATCTACACAAGGAGCTACAAACATTTTCAAGAACAAGACACATGCTGTTTGTGTCAACTTAGCTATCTTTTAACCAATGACTTTGGCTCTTCAGGCAATAGATAAATTGGAGTGCATCACAGCACAGCCTCTGGCTTCCAAGGTTAGATTTCATTACTTCTTAAATATGGAGGTCCAGCTGTATTACTTTCCACAATGCTTTCCTGTCCCACAACTACCGTAGTAAAGCTCACTTCTCAATGAGCCCTGCTGGTTATTAGGACATCAGGTGATAAACACTGAAGTGTGTGGGCAGATAGTCTTTGTATGCAGTTTATCGGTCACTGTAATGCCAAAGACAAAGACTTTTTTCCTCACCCTTTTCCCTTTAATTTTGCCTGTATTTTCAGAGTGCACCATTCATTTACACACACACACACACACATAAAATAACCTGAAAATAAACAAGGGAGCTAATATCAATGTCAGTGTTAAACGGGAAGGGGATTCTGTGATAAATGTAATGATTAGACCAAGGTCATTGATTCCTGCTCAGTGGAAGAACAGGTGTTAAACCTACAATTTTGTTCCATGCTTTTTGCACACTGCAGTGCTTGTGTTCAAATTAAGCTGTGCCTGTTACACATATGGGGAGGGTTACTTTCAAACTCGAAGAAATAATAATAATAATATTTCTTTGGAAGTTTTTTTTTTTTTTTTTTTAAGATAGGGTCTCTGTCGCCTATGCTGGAGTGCAATGATGCAATCATGGCTCACTGCAGCCTCAATGTCCGGGGCTCAAGTGATCTTCCCACCTCAGCCTCCCAAGTAGCTGGGACTACAGGTACACTCCACCAAGCCTGGTTAGTTTTTGTACTTTGTGTAGAGACAGGGTTTTGCCATGTCGCCCAGGCTGATCTTGAACTTCTGGGCTCAAGCAATCCGCCCACCTCAGCCTCCCGAAATGTTGAGATTACAGGCATGAGCCACAGCACCTAGCCAAAAATAATACTTCTAATTCCAGTGTTTCTTACATGCTGAGCATGCTCTACTGGAATTCTGTAGTGTGTAAATATCTGAAGGAACACATTCTTTCAAGGACAGCATCATGGGGGTGTGGTTAAGAAGCTAGCCAGGCTGAGTTGAAATCTTGGTACTTCTGTTTGCTAAGTCTGTGACTTTGAGCAAGTTACTTAATCTCTCTCCACCTTACTTTCCTCATCTGTAAAACTGGGGTTAACAGTACCAACTTCAAAGGGTTTTTGTGTAAATTTTTTTTTTTTTTGAGACAGAGTCTCGCTCTGCCGCGCAGGCTGGAGTGCAGTGGCGTGATCTCGGCTCACTGCAAGCTCCGCCTCCCAGGTTCACGCCATTCTCCTGCCTCAGCCTCCCGAGTAGCTGGGACTACAGGCGCCCACCACCACGCCTGGCTAATTTTTTTTTTTTTTTTTTGTACTTTTAGTAGAGACGGGGTTTCACTGTTTTAGCCAGGATGGTCTCGATCTCCTGACTTCGTGATCTGCCCACCTCGGCCTGTCAAAGTGCTGGGATTACAGGCGTGAGCCACCGCGCCCGGCTGCTTTTGTATAAATTAAATGATTCAATATATGTAAGGATCTTAAAACAGTGTCTGGCTCATAAGTGCCACCCAGGAGTTACTAATTAAGTGATATAAATAATTAAACCTTATATACTATTTTAAAGCTACATGCAGAAATCAAACATCTAGGCCTCTGACTATTCTTTCATCATTTTAGTCATTAATAAAATTATTGAAATGTCCAATAAGTACTGACTTATTATTTTTATGTCAGGTTGTTTTTTTTTTTTCCTGTTGGTGCATGAATACACAAACTGGGGGCAATTTAGTTGTCAGCTTTTAATTTTTCAAAAAATTTATTTCCTTCAACATATAATTTGACAAATCACTTCATTTCATATGGGAAAAAGAGAGCCCTATTTTTTATTATATGAAATTTATGAGTAATGTAGGTAAGGCTTGCATAATTAGGAATCAGTCCTTTAGGAATCTAGCCTTCCTTATGCTTAGAGCAAATAAGTTATGAATTGATTTTTTTATTTATAAGATTGCAAAATGGGAATCCTGTAAAGGTATAATAAATACCAAGTTGGAATTTATGATAGCACATTAATATTAGTTTCTTGGATATGATAGATCAACAATAAGCTTTTTGTGGTTTTGCATAAAGATAGAATCATAGGGAAAAAAGAACATTAGGATCTTCCATTTAACAAATGTGTATTGAGCCTTCATGGAGAGCCTGTGATCTACCCTTTCTCTATGACCTGATGATAAAGACTCTGCCTTTTAAATACTTACATTTGAGAAAGGGTAAGACAGGCATATCAGTAATCATTATACAATGCAGAAAATAATTATCATAAGAGGGGAACAAAGTGCTATGGGTATCAAGTGGGGAAAGATCACTTCCTGTCCTAGGAATCAGATTTTATGGTTGTGGTGGCTTTTGTGAGATGAGCTGAGATGGAAATTTATTTAATCTGTAGACATTATGATATTGGAACATTTTAAGCAAATATAGAATGATAAAAAATTAGAAAAACAGGAGACATGGGGAAACTTTCTAGAAGAATTAGCATTAGTGGTTGCTCAGTTTATAAGGTGTTTTAATAGGAGACATGGGGAAACTTTCTAGAAGAATTAGCATTAGTGGTTGCTCAGTTTATAAGGTGTTTATGGGGAGGATTGGGAGCAAGACCAGGAAGGTAATGTGGATCTGTATTCCATAGAGCTGCGGTCCCCAACCTTTTTGGCACCAGGAACCAGTTTCGTGGAAGACAATTTTTTCCATGGACCGGTGGTTGGGGAATAGTTTCAGGATGAAACTGTTCCACCTCAGATCATCAGGCATTAGATTAAGGAGGCCACACCCTAGATAACCCACATAGGCATGCTCACAATAGGGTTCCTGCTCCTATGAGAATCTAATGCTGCTGCTGATCTGAGAGGAGGCGGGGCTCAGGCTCATTTCCTGTTGTGCAGCCGGGTTTCTAACAGGCCAGGGACCCATACCGGTTCATGCCCCATGGAAGTTGGAGACCCTGGATATAGAGCCTCTATTCATCTCCTTGAACCAAAATATAGTCTTCAATGTTATTTCCAAAATTATCCCAGAAATATGACTCTATAACTTCCCTTGATAATATATTATTCAAGTGTGTAATCATAAAAACAAAAGAACACAAAGCTCTTATCTGAACAGCATTTAAGTACTACCTCAGGCTTTTCTTTTGAGGATTACATTGTTTAAATTGTACATTTTTCTATTACAGTTTTATTCTGCCTCCAAGATAAATTTATTTTTTGATTTATTAATTATTTTATTTTTGACAGGACTTGGTCTAATAGGTAGTTGATTTGGAAAGGGCTGAATGTGGCTCATTGACTGAAATTGATGCTAAGTTTTAATCTAGAATTTCTAACCAGAAATTAGTTATTGGAAGAAACAGCTGTAAACTTTTAAAGCTGGTTTCCAGGAGAAACATCTACAACTAGAAATGTCAGTTGACATGGAAAATTTCATGAGAAACTACAAAATATTTATATTCTGCTGGATGGACACTAGTTTTGGACACTAAGGAAATTGTTTCCATTAGAACAAATGTTTGGTTTTCCTGTCTGTGGACTTTAATCAACTACATGTGAAATATATGCAAACTAGATTCTTTGCTAGAGAGAAAGTGAAAGATTGAAAGTATGTCTTTAAGGCTTTTCTTTGTTGCAAAATTTTGCAATTCTTTCCCGTTGCAAAGATACCTTTGACATTGTTTGCATGCCAGTTATATTCTCCCTTGACTCAACCCCAAGCATGACCTCCTCTGACTAATCTTGCCTTTAGGCAGCAAGAAGATAAGATTACCAGTTCCCAGTACTCTAGGAATTGGTCCATAAGATGTAGCTGAAGGTTCCAAGTTTTTGCTATTGTGAATAGTGCCGCAATAAACATACATGTGCTGGCACATGTATACATATGTAACAAACCTGCACATTGTGCATATGTACCCCAGAACTTAAAATATAATTAAAAAAAAAAGATGTAGCTGAAGGAGGGAAGGAAAGGAAATTAATTCTTTACAATGTTGGATTGCTGGTTGTTATAAAGCCGCCTAAACAAGACAGGTAATAACACCATTGTATTTTGTGCTAGTTAGATCACATCTGGAGTACTGTTTCCATTCTCATTACTATATTTTAAAATACGTTATCAAATTTGAGTTTATCAAGAGTAGGTCAACAAAAATGATGACTAGGGTGTATATACCATAATATGTAAAATTAAGTAGGGATATTTATCTCAGTTAAGAAAAGAATTACAATAGCTTTTAAATATTTGAATGACTGGCCTGTCAAAGAATGGGCCTCATTAGTCCATTGTTTTCTAGAGGTGAGCTCTGGGAGAGAGATATGACATGTTCCTTGATGAGATTTTGAGTTCCCTGCCTCTAGAAATTTTGAAAGATATATAGATTTTTTGGTCCGCAGATTGGATCTGTTAGAAGGGTAGAAATTAATAGTTTGCATTCAAGACTTGAAAATATTCTAAAAGATTAGAAAAATGTGGTGTGGGCCCACCCTGAATAGTCCTGCACCTTTATTCAATTTTCATTGCCTTAAAGTTAGGCCTGTCTACTTTTTTATCAGTTGAGTTCTTTAAAGACATCCCAATTAAGGAGAAATTTAGCCTAGGGAGACAAGTTTTGCAGATAAGAAAATTACATTGTCAATGTTATATGATTAACACCCAAATGTGGATACACTATTTTCCTTTCAAGAAGGTCCTAATGATTCTGAAAAAAAAAAAAAAAAAACATTTAATTTTAGCTCCTGTTGTAACAGGAAGAAAAAAAATCCTCTAAAGCAGTCATTAACTCACTGTTACATAAAGGCAGTAGCACATTAGATTAGCTCTACGTAATCAAGCAGAAATTGTGCTTTATTTCTTATGGTTAGTGTCCTTGAGATGAGTTAAAACTACATGAAAAAGATAACTCCCCCTGACCAAAATGACACGTACAGATTTCACGGAAATATCTCATCTTTCTTCAAGTTAGACCTGCCCACTGTTTTTTTTTCTTCCCCCTTCATCTTTTGAATTTCAAAATATATTTTAATTAAGCCAAATGTGTCGATCTATATTTTGGGAACACATCATTTCAAAGCCATTGTAAAATTTCTGAATTATTTTGGAATATAAGCAATGAAAAGGCAATGATATTTTACTAAAAGACCTCACAGATATTAAAATGGTAAAAAGTCATGTTTGAAATAACTGTAACCATATGAAATACTTGGTTGTGACACACACACACATACACACACACACACACCGTTTGCCAAGATTCTACCATGAAGTAATTTTCTATCTTTAAATTCATCACCATTTATTTTTTAAAAGCATTGAAGTTTTATATTATTTATATCTCAGAAGACACAGAATATTCAGTATTCAGCCCTAAGCATCTCTACTGGGGTGGGATGATGGGCAGGGAAACCAGTAATTGGTCTAAGGCTGCATCTGCCAGGCACATGGATCAGTCATTTGTTTGTCTCTGTGTTTTGTGCTATTGGACATCAGACATTGGAAGTTTTACTATATCTCTGTTAATGGTAACTTTATTAAAGCAAGAGAGTAACATTCACAGGAAAATGGCAGAAATATAATATCATCCAATATATTTAAGAAGCATAGTCCTTTTTTTAAAAAATAGGCTGATGGCATCAAAAAGGATGGCATCAAAGAGGATCTTTTAAAAATCTTTCTTACAAAAAGCAAATATTTTACATTGTGTTTAGGATTATGGACTTTATTTAATAAAAGTATTAGATAATTTATTTTCTTTGTTTCTACCATGATTCAAATGAAATCTGATTATTCATTGAAACCTCATTTATAAGACAGAAGTCCTGGAATTCATCCAAGTATTATTCACTAAAGACTTAGTGAAACAAATTATGCCATATCCATTTACTTCAAAATTCTGCTTGTGGTGAATTTTAGTTAGTAATTTAGGTGATTTAATAAATATACTTCTATTTTCTAATGCAAACCTTAACCCATTGTACCAATGGATTTTTTTTTGACAACACTCTTAATCATTAAGTCTTGTCCAGCATTAACATTTTATGTGCAATGATTCTGTGGTTTTCTTAAGTGGATACTGTCACTGAGATTTGTGCCAGTATTGCTGATCAATTCATTACTTTTTAGTTTTCTGTTCTTTTGGTTTTAGCAGATTTGCTTTTTAGATTAGCTCATTTGTCCAGACTTAGGGAAATGAATTGAGGTTGAAGTGAGTAGTCTCCCACACATAAATAAAGCAGAAATCCATAGAACATAAAGGAGCCTGAGAGTATCAGCTTCCTGCTGTCAGGTGCTATGAAACAAAATAACATGGATGCTGTGACCATCTGAAATTCATATCTAGTGAGCTGGTAGCCTCGGCTTCATGGCTTCTCTAGTGACATTAAACAGCATTCTCATTGTAGAATTAATGATTCTCTCTTTCCTGTATTAAATTTTCAAAAAGATTATGAATTTATTAATTTTATTGAAAATGGATAAATCTGAGAAATCATTTATATTAACTTTTGATCTGCTTTATCCCTTACAAGTTTCTTCGTTTTATTTGCCCATGAATTTTCTTAGGTTTAATTTTCAATCCTCATTTTACAAAGCTAAAAAAAAAAAGGGTAAAAACAGTCATTAAATTTACTTTTGGACTTCATTTTCTCAATTTAAAATTGGACAACTTTCCAAAAATATTTACTCAGAACCAATTATATACACTGTGCAAAATTAAAACATTTGCCCTCCAAGGAAGAATAATGTCCAGCTTGGGAAACAAAGCTGGAAAATATTATGTACCATTCTGTTTAGAACTGGCTTTCGGTTATAGTTTAAAAGGTAGTGGGGTTAGAAGGGAATATCTGGAGACTGAAATAAATACTAAGGAGTTGAAGGTGGTGAAACTTGAATTCAGTCGACAAGGATGGTTTGGGTTTGGATAGGGAGGAAGGGCACATTTAATAAACAAAGGATATTTAAGGACAATTGAATAGATACACCAAAATATTGAATTGTAAGTCCCCTTATTATATCAAATCACCTAACTTAAAGATATTTACTACTTCCTTTAAGTAAGAGAATTTGTCCTAATTATGTTCTCAAAGACTAATAACAGCTGGGATATGAATGTAGGCTATTTGAGTCATATTACTTTCCAGCTTCCCAGTACTCTGGCTTACTTTTATAAAATACGTGTTTTTGTTCAGTTTAGTTTTAGTTTTCTTACTCAGTGGCAAAAATTGAACCCAAAGCTTGCATTCTTTTTTGTTATTTTTCTCATTTATACCTCTTTCTAAAATGAGAGAATCACAAATGCACTGGTAATTGCTGTTAAAATGATTCACTGTATAAATACATTGTAAAACCCATGTAAACTATATCACCACTAAACATTAAAAGTACATTTTGTGGTTCTGTTTAAATGAATCTACTTAATTAATAAATCATAGTTTCATGTTTTCTGAGTTAGTTTAAAAATCACAGATTTAATTTTTCATGAGATAATCTAATGGTCTTTAGAGCAACCATTGTCTTTATAATAATTATATTGTTTCCTTCCTACCCCAAGAAGGAAAATCTGATTTATATAATGACATATAGCTATAGAAACTATATATAATTATGTATATATTTATATGATGAAACATATACAGAGATGTAAGGCTTTCTTTGATTAATTTAATAATATTACAAAATGAAGCAGCTGAGCTTTATTTAATACAAATGACTGTATTAAACATTTGTGTATCTTTTCTTTCAACAAATATTTATTCAGTTCCTCCAGTGTTCCAGACACTGTTTTGAAAACTACGGATGTAATGGTGAGCAAAAAAATGCTACAGCCCTGTCCTCATGAAACTCTTAGTCTAATGGGAGAGACTAATAAAAATTCAATATATGTTTACATGCTAACTACATGTGTACAAAATTATGTTTTATGTGTTATATATTATCAATACTTCAATGGATGCCATTCTCCAAATTTTGCACAGGAATCACAATGCATGTAAAATGTTGATAGAATGGAAACATTTTGATTATTCAAGCATTTTCTATGCAAATCCAATGCTGTGCCTCACAGTGACCCAAATACTCTGCAGTTCTGAGATTGTGGAGTTGACCACATCATATGCTGTCTGAAATATTTGGCCAGAGGAAACTAATCATCTTTGTTATACTTTTCACAGGGAAGAAGTTAGTAATAGCAACCTTTAAGTACAAAGTCATATCCCAGTTGGGCCATTGGCCAAGGACAACAGATAAACAAATAATAAAACAAAAACCAAATTAACCCAAACCTCTCTCTCAGTACTTCTATGGATACGTCCGCAGGCAACTCCATATCCTTCTTTAATGACTGAGTTCACAAATTTAAATAATAGTTTACTCTAATTTTAGTAATGCCTCTGCTTCCCTCAACACACAAACATACACACACATGTAGAGCACTTGACATCTGGGTAGGCATAAATAATCAAGCATAAATATCATGATTGCTATTTTTGCATCACTGCAGTTGAATAAAACATTGTAAAATATTGTCAGAATACAATAATACATAGTTCTTGTTATGGAAATAACTAATGACTAGATAATTATATGCTTGAAAACATATTTGGTACATGCTTAACCAAATTTATGATATAGCCAACAAAAGGATCAATAAGTCACTCTGAATTAACATTCACATGTAAAATATGTTATAATATACTAAGAAATGTAGTTTTTATATTTCATAATGAGATTTTCCTATTTGATGGTAAGCCACACTGGGTGTAAAATTGTTTTTAATGGGTATAATTTCCAAGTTATAAAAGTTTACTTAAAACACTCAAAAATGAAACAGACAAAAACAGAATATGTAAGAATTGTTGAAACCACACAAAGAGACTGGAATCTGTCTAATGAATAAACTTAAGTGTTATAGTATCGTGTTGTATCAGGGTAATATACGGCCCACTGGGCCTGGGTAGTTGTACTTCACAGTTGATACTTGTGGGGAAAAAGAGAAAGAGAGTGAGGAAGAAAGGAAGGAAGTCAAGGAGAGTCTGTATGATGCCTTCCTGTCCTCCCAAGTACCACCACACTTCAGGAACATGGGAACATGTACACTGGTGGAATGTCCTGCAAAAGAGCGACTAACTTAAAAATCAAGGAATAGGTTTATTGTATCAAAGCATGGTGGTAAGCTCCCTGGAAAAATAAAGCACTGAAATCTCAGCTGCCCACTGAATGCATAGCCTGAGGCTGTGTGTACTTCTGGTCTCAGCTGCCTCAGATAATTAATTTCTTATGCATTCTAATATTTTTAAAAGGAACAACAAAACTGATTAGGATTGTAGCAGATTGCCATTTAGATGTAAATAACAAAAAGCTCAACTCAAATAATACACAGTATGTATTTTCCCTAGAACTAGAAGTCCAAAGAAAGGTCAGGATTCATGGTTGATATGATTCAGTGGCTCAACAATCTCATCAAGATTCTAAAATCTTTGTTTCTGCACTCTGCCTTTGAGCAGGATCAGCTTTCTTCCAGATCTGTCTCCCATCATGGTTGCAAGGTGCATGCCAATGACTTCTGGGGCCACAAGCCTCTGTGTCTACATCTAAAGGAGAGTGAGAAGGGGTTATTTCCAGACACTTTCTGAGAAGAGTGAGGAGGCCTTTTTTTTCCAAGAGCCTCTCCCCACCTAAATACACACAAATATCTCCTTACATATCCTTGTCCCCAAATGGGTCACATGCCTATATCTAGGCCAATAACTGTGGCCAAGAAAAGGGAACAGATTTAGTTAGTTCTGAGATACAGACCATTTATTAAATCCAAAGGGGATGTCATCTTTCCCTAAAGCATTGATATAGATACCCAATGAAATCTGAAGATGATACAAGAAAACAGTGTTGAAATCTCGTGAAACAACCGGAATATAAATTGCAAAGGGTTTTCTGTAAGCCTACTAATTTACTGCTGTGGTTCCAACAATGGTACCCATGGCTGTTTCCCAGTGAAATAAACTTTGATGGGTTAGAGTCAGAATTCTCAATATTTAGTGTTCGTGGCGATTATCTACAGAACTTATAAAAAATGCAGAAGCCTGGGCTAAAACCCAATATTCAAATTCAGTAGGTGTGGGGCATTTTAACAGACACCCAGGAAGATTCTGTTATGGGTGATAGGAGGATTACACTTACTTAAATTCTATATGTCTGATATATTTTTTTACCTCTGTTTTCCTACCATCATTATAATTTCAGTACATTCTTCTAAATGCTGACCAAGTGGAGCAATACACTTATTTGTTGGGTTGCTTATTTTTGGTTTTCTTGGTGAATGTGTTTAAATTCCCAGAATTAGAAGAGACTACATGTGCCATAGACTCTGATTTTTATTTTAATTGCTGATTTTATGACTTCTGAGAGGAAGAGAGAATAATCATTTGGGTAGCATGATAGTACCTTCTGTGATACTTGTTTCGCAGAAATGTCATTAATAAGGCAACTAATGCCCACTTTGAGGTTTATTTTTACTCTGGGGCTCTAGTTGCCACCTGTTAATAGTTGATGATGTTTTGTTCAGTAAAGCAGTTAGCCTGAAATGCTGCCTTTGTTACAGAGATAACTAAAGCTGGATTATTACCAATAGTAACCCTTGTGTATATGCCTTCATGAGTGTGAATAGTATGAATATTGGTTAATGACATCTACCCATATCAAGGAAGCACTGCTATGTAGATGTTACATAGAGAAATCTTTGCAAAGTTGTGTATTTGCTGGCTGTAATTCTGTTAATTTGTAACAAAGATACTTTCAGGTATTGCAAATTCAAGTGTAGATTGGTGCACAGCTTGCCCTGTGGGATTTGCTTTTTCAAAGGTTCTGATTACTATGACTCTTACTAAATTTGGAATTGTCTTCATTTCTGTACTTGCTAATTCCTTCCTAAAATTTCTTGCTTGTTCTTACATAATGGAAAAGTAAAATCTTAGCAACTTCCAGTCTTCCTTCTTAGACATCACTTCTTTAGGGTGCTTTGTTTAACCAGTCAGGATCTCAGCTGCCTATGTCTGTCCCTGGATTGTAAGGGAAATGGAGAAGCTTCCAAAGAACTCCATTTCTTGAAAGGATTTCTCTCCTCAGCCTCTGTATCAATTTTTCTTTCTTTTCTCCCCCAGTTTTATGCTTAAGTCCAGCTAACATTATTAGGAGCATAACTACTCCCATGACCCAACACTTTAAATAGTACCTAGTGAATTTCGGTAAACTCTGCCGTCTAGTTTTTATCTTTAAGTAGAAACGGAATCAGCACTTTGTGATACAATAAGGCACAGCAGAAGAAGTTCAGTTTTAAAGTCACACTGACATGAGCTCAAATTCAAATTGAACTCACACAGATTGTTCAGTCACTCTGAACCTCTGTACTTTCTTTTATCAAATGAGAAATATTTTCATCTCATTGGTTGCTTTGTGAATTAAATGAGTTCATACACATAAAGTGACCAGCCATAAGTGTAAGGATTTTTTTTCTTTTGAATCTCTAGATTTTGTTAACAATAACTCATCTAAGTCAGCACTTCTGCAAGCCCCTGTGGTATTTTCCTAAAAGGGAATTCCTGGAAGCTACCATTTTTTTTCCTCTTTGAACATGTTATGATATATTTTGGACATGATAAAGCGGCAAACAGCTTTTAAAATATTTATGTTCTCTGCGCCATGCATGCCAACTGTGTTTGCTCTCTCCATTTCTTTATGTGCCAAGGAGGCGAGCCAAACAGTGTGAGAAGAAAACACTGTCAGGACACAAAGTCAGCTTGTCTAATGTGTACTCTGCGCAGATGTAACCTTAACGGAAAAGAGTGGAGACCACTCCCTGGCTACACAGTGATACCTTGATTAACGAATCCGCTGGGAACAAAGTTCCTTTATAAGCAATTCAGCTGAGTAAATTTTTATTTTAAAACTTCATGAATCAAGTGAAATAGGACTGGCTTGTGTCATATAATTCAACGGTAATATTCTGGGTAAACTGCAGTTCTGTACAGAGCAGAAATACTTCTTCACAGAGTGTGTGTTGAAGTATAAAAGTGAATAGATGGATTCTAGGCAAAATTGTGAAGCTGCTTCAGACAAACTTCTTTTTCACTCTTGTAATTGCTGTGCTCCATCCTCCACATACACAGGGCAGTAGGTTATTGCCCTTGGAATCTTGCTGCTCTCAAACCTTCCTACCTCTTAAAACAGGAATCAACAAGATTCACACTTGTATGAGTTACAGTTAATGTTATCTTACATTGATATTGCCTAGTAATACCTCAATCCTGGCTACAAGTTAATACCATGTAAAGATTCTGACTTAATTGGTTCTATGTGGAGCCCAGAATTTGGAATTCTAATATACTTACAGGGTTGGTAACCACTACCCAAGGATAAAATTGTATTTTCGTATTGTGGCCTCCTCTTTTATAATGTCTATGTGTATCCATATGTGGGTTGCAGAACATAAGTCAGAACCACCTGGGGTCACTCTTTAAAATGCAGGTTCCGGTGTCCTTACCACAGAATCATCACTACTAAATTTTGAAGTGTGTGGTATATGTAAGTGTGTGTATGTCACACACACACACACACACACACACACACACACACATCACGTAGTGGGAGAGAGAGAGAGAGAACTGGAATCTTCATGTTTAAGAAAAGTCCAGGCCGGGTTCGGTGGCTCATGCCTGTAATCCCAGCACTTTGGGAGGCCCAGGCAGGCGGATCACCTGAGGTCAGGAGTTCAAGACCAGCCTGACCAACATGGAGAAACTCCATCTCTACTAAAAGTACAACATTAGCCAGGTGTGGTGGTACATGCCTGTAATCCCAGCTACTCAGGAGGCTGAGACAGGAGAATTGCTTGAACCCAGGAGGCGGAGGTTGCAGTGAGCCGAGATTGTGCCATTGCACTCCAGCCTGGGCAACAAGAGTGAAACTCCATCTAAAAAAAAAAAAAAAGAAAAGTCCAAAGTGATTTTGAGTCACCCTGAAGTTTAATTCTTCCTTTCTTATAACTTCTATCTCATGGAACACAATTTTTGACCATCAGCCATGACTTTTAATTCCTCTTTGCCAAATAGAAAATTGATGGTGGGGTAGCTCTATGTTATATACAATCCATATTTTTCAGCAGCAATATTTATAATAATTTATACTCAAATTAACTAAGGTTAATCTTATTTGCAAAGGAAAATCAAATTCAGACAATTCAATTTTTTTCTAACAAATATTAATAGATATTTTAAAGTATAGGAGCACATATGTTTTTATTTAATGTGAATACTCATTAATCTGTTATTAAATCATGACAATTTTCTAATGTATACACAAAATTACAAGTCAGGGGCTTGTAGTTAGTGTTTGGAAATGTGAAATATATTTATGTTCAATCTCAATATCTCTTTTTCTCTTTCTTTCTCTCTCCCCCCTTCTCCCTCCCTTCACTTCTACCCCACCCCCATTTCACCTTTTCCTCTTATCATAGCATCAGATGAAGAAGAACCAACTTCAGCAGGTAAAGTTCCTATGTTGTAAACATAATTCTTATTTAATGTCATGCCTTTAATAATAGAGAGTCAACCTTTTGAGTAATATTTTTTCAGATTTCAACCAGAAAATTGGCACAGGTTTGTTTATTTATTTACTTTTATATTTGCTGAGCTCACTATGCTGTGCCAGACTAAATGATGTTGGTTAAGAGTTTTGAATAAAAGGAGAAAAGTCTTGAAACGAACTAATACAGAGGAAAATACAATACAAAATAGCACATTGACATTAAAGAATAAGGAAAATTGGAAAATGAGAACATTGAGAAAAATACAGAAAAATAATACAGTGAGGAGAATGAATGATAAAATTAAGATTAAAAAGGAGGAAAATGGTAAAATAAACTTTCAGAAATACCTTTCATGAGAGCATACAGCACTATCACATGTATAACTAGCATCAAACATCATATTCACTAGGCTTAAGGGTACTGTGTCTGCCTCACTCATTTTATTTTAAAAATGTAATTTTTACAATTATAATTTAATAATCCTGCAACTTGGCATCATGACTTAGTTCCTTATCCAGCTAATTAGTATTTATCAAACACAGGCTGTGGCCTGAACCATGTGCAATGAAGAATGCAAATGTTAGAGATGGCATGGTATTTTCCACATGGTTCCAGGACAGTGAGAGAGGTCAGAGAAATGCCAGAGAGACTAAAGACCAGACACAATTATAAGAATATAATGGGAAGAAAAAGCTCACTTGATTAATTAATAAAAGACCAGACTAACATACCAGCAACATCAGAAAAAAAAATAGAGTCAAGTCCTGAGAGGTAGGCAGTTAGTGGTTGGTCTGAAGAGAAAAGACCTCGGCATTAGATGGATTCTTTTTAGTAACTGAGAAAAGGATTTAGGCCTGAGAGACAAGAGCAGGAAAGGGCTCCTGAAATTAATGGTCAGAATGGTGCTTGCTTATATGGAAGGAGGGAAAGTAGCCCAGTTATTGAAACTCATATACAAGATAGGGTCAGTTCAATTCATAGGCCTGACTTACTTCAACTAGCCTGGCTTCATGGCTTCTATCTCTGTGCAAAACTGGACAAGGATTTTACCTGTAGGAGTAAATTCAAAAGATCAAAGTTTCAGTGGAAGAAAACAAAATAAATATCTTACATTTCTTTGATAAATTCCAAGGATATATAAATGTCATGTTGCATGATACTCATTATAACTATAAACTGCCTTTGAAATGGAATCAGACATTCAGACAAACCCTCAATTGATGTTTCATTTTCATAATATTGTTAGATAGTCTATAGCCTGATTAGGATAGGAACTCCTATCATATTTCTCCCACTCTAGGCAGTATTGTGTAGCCTGTTTTAGGACCAGCCTAATCACATGACTCAATAGCAAACTCATCTGTTTGTGAGTTTCCTCTGCCTAGTTTCTGCTTTCTGTTTGCCCTGACTTTGAAGCTTTGCTGTTGATAGTGTTGCCCAAAGACTCTGTCTGTATGTCTGTCTATTGTGGTGTATTTTTTCTATACAGACAACCCATATACTTGACACATAATTCAAGCAATACAGAAGGGTTTGTGGTTAAAAGTAAGGTTGCTATCTCTTTTTACCCCTAGTCTCTTAGTTCTCTTCCTGAGAAGCAACCCCTGTTAACTTTTTTTTTGAGGCCTCTTCCAGAAAAACTCCAGGCCTGTGTTGTCCAATAGGGCAGCCACTAGCTACATGGGCTATTGAACACTCCACTATTCCAAATTGAAATGTAATGTAAGTATAAAATACACACTGGATTTCTTTATTATTCTTAATTTAACTTTTACTTTAGTTACAGGGGGCACATGTGCAGGTTGGTTACATGGGTATATTGCATCCAGGTAGGGAGGATAGTATCCAATAGGTAGATTTTCAACCTACACCCTCTTCCTCTCCTCCACTCTCTAGTAGTCTGCAGTGTTTATTGTTCCCAGGTTTACATCCATGTGTGCTCAATGTTTAGCTACCACTTGTAAGTGAGAATGTGTAGTATTTAGTATTCTGATCCTGCATTAATTTTTGAATCATGGCCTCCAGCTCCATCCATGTTGCTAAGAGGCATATAATTTCATTCTTTTTCATGACTGTATATTATTCTGTAGTTTATATGTACTACATTTTCTTTATCCAATCCACCATTAGCACATAATTTGATTCCATGTTTTTGCTATTGTGAATAGTGCAGCAATGAACTTATGAGTGCATGTGTCTTGTTGGTATAATGATCTGTCTTCCTTTGAGTACATACCCAGTAATGGGATTGCTGGATCTTACAGTAGCTCTGTTTTAAGTTCTTTGGGAAATCTCCAAACTGCCTTCTATAGTGGCTGAACTAGTTTACATTCCCACCAACAGTGAGTAAGTGTTCCCTTTTCTCCACAGCCTTGCCAGCATCTGTTGTTTTTTGATTTTTTAATAGTATCTGACTGGTGTGAGATGGTATCTCATTGTGGTTTTTGATTTGAATTTCTCTGTTAAGTGATGATGAGCATTTTTTTCACATGCTTGTTGGCTTCTTGTATATCTTCTTTTGATAAGTGTCTGTCCATGTCCTTTGCCCAATTTTTACTGGGGTTGTTTTTTTCCTTGTTGATTTAAGTTCCTTATAGATTCTGGATGTTAGACTTCTCTGGCTAGGACTTCTTCTGTCCATATTTCTTAACTTTAATTGGACTTTCTCTCTGGGTGTCAATCCTTGACAGCAGCCATCATTTTCTAGCCCAATTCATTTTCATTTCTCCTGTCTGCTGCCCACACCTTACTAAGTCATCTGCCAAGCAGTGTTGGTGCTTTAGCAAAATTATTGTTTTGTACGAAGAAAATGAATTGTAACCCAGTGTATGCTATATTTAAGTATAATATAGCTACTTGTGTACTTTTCTTATTCTAAATCTATTTTCATAACTTCTCTCCTCACTAAGAAGGCCTTTTTGTGAAATGCAACTGAACATTTTTTCTTCAAAATACTCATCTTCCTCCAGAGTGATGTGCACATCATAGAATTTAAATTATGTTTTAAAAATACTTTCATTTCTAGATATGAGCAGATGTTTTTGTTGTGATTTTAGCATAGATTTTTAAAATAGAACAAATGTGCTCTTAAGGAATATTTAGCTACATAATTTCACATATGGATTATATTAACATTGAGAAAATGTGTCATTTAGTAAAGTAGACACTCCTTTTGTATAAAAAGCAGACAATGGGAAACAAATGTTTTCCTTTTAATTTTATCAACCTATATAATAAAAAGAGTAAATTAAAACATTTGGCAAAATATTATCAGATTTGCAAATAATTGATTTCATAAGGAATACGAATAATTATGAAAATTGGATTGAGATTTTTGAGTTCATTTTAGTATCTCTTGCCCTGAATTTTTCAACACTTAATTTTTTAAAGGAATAGTTATTATCCTGTTCACTTATATTTTTCAGTAATCATATATATCAGATATATATCTTTAATTTATAGCTGTTATTCATGTTTGTTTATTACAGCATTAATATTCTGTTTTCACTCTCATCTCCTTTCACCAATAGAATTGATGCAGAATGGTATTTTCCAAGCTGAGATTTATTTTTGTGGTCCTCTTTTAACTTATGTCTCTTTCCTGTTATTTCACCATTTTGTTTCAGTTATCAGTGAAATGAAATCTTTTGTTTGCCAGAAAAAAATGTACGTTAATTCAGCTTTCACATATCCCCATATAATATCTTTACCAGGTTCATACTCTTCCAGATTGGACAGTGTCTTCTTCAAATATATATGTTAATTTCTTTAAATTAAATATTTATTTTTCTAATTGGAGATAAGCCACTTCTCAAAGTAAAGTAATAGAATAAATAATACAATAAATAGCGTTTTTTACTGCCAAAAATCACAGCATCCTGATTAATAGTTGTTAATGTATGAATTTTGAATTTTAAAAGCATAATTTTTTGAACAAATCTATACATGACTTATCTAAAAATGTAAGTTCCTAGTGGATATTACCACTCATACTATTTAGTAAACATTTTTAATGTATTGATATTGTATGACAAATCTAGGTTGTTTTAATTCTATAGGCACACAGAGTTGGGTCGATTATAATTCAATAGTTATGATCTATTCTCATTGTTTAGAACTATTTTTAAAGTAAATAATAGATGTTTATCTTCAATAACATATAGAATGAAAAAAATCAGGAAGACAAATAATAAACGAGAAAATTAGGGAGACATTAGATAGTGTTTTACTTGTGTTATAATGCTACAAAATAATATGGATTTTTTTCTTTACAATGGAATACAATTGATTTGCCTTATATTTTGAATTATTGAAAAACTGCCTCGTTAAAACAGATAAGTGATCCCTCCACTTTGTTCCCATGTAACTGAGATTATATTTAATAAAATAAATGTCAGAATGAAAATATTCTTATACTTTAGACAATCACATTCTGTCTTTGGTTATTTCTTCATACGTACCCACATTCTTTTATTCGAACTTCTAAATTGCCTTGCAAATAGCAAGTTCTTAATAAGTGTTTTAAAATGTTGACTCGTAGAGGGGATGCATGATACATCTTATCTGCATTTCTAATAGTAGGCATGCATCCCCTTATTGATTGGGAAGCATTGGCTTGTTAATCACTTTCAGTTCTGAATGTTCTGGTAGGATGTATTAGCCTAAAAGACCATATTTCATAACATCTGAGTTATCAGGGTAGATTCAGTTAACACCTGCTTCTTTAGCTACCAGAAGCTTCTTTTTATTTATCCTACTTGAATCTTAAATTCAGATATTTAAACATCTTGTTTTATTGAGTATAAAAACACATCAATGAACTATAGAGAAATTTCTTCAAGCTGAGTTATATTTTAAGATCTAATTACAAACTAATGAGATTCACATTTTTAAAGCAGATACTGTACCCCAAAATGAATCACTTTTAGAAGTGATATATTTAATCTAAGTATGTTGATATTGCACAAATAATTTTTGGAAACTATTTTTTTGAAACTTCCTTCTGAATCTGCTTATGGGATTACAATATAAACTATTATAGTCTCTGAACTGTGCTACTATATTTATCTGACTTTGGTCTAATATATATGCCTTTAAAAACAAAGCTTTGCAAATATGAAGAATGTGAGGGGGTATGAAATACAGATAAGATTACAACTTTGAAATTAACAACATTCACCTGAACATATGATATGTATTTTTGAAAGGTAAAATCAAATAACACCTTTTAACAAAGTTGTCAGTGATTGCTTTCCTTATGTTGCACAAATCCAATTTTCATTTAGCTTTTATTTAAGTTTCATAATAGATACTTCATAAACTGACTATAACAATACTTATTTCTATGTCCCTTGGAAAAAAAAGACATATAAATTTGAATATTGACTGCTAAAAATAAACTAATCCATATAAAATATAATTTAACTATAAGGTGTAGCAAATCAAGTTTATTCTCACAATTTCCTCATTGCTTTTAGTTTATTTGGTCTTATTAGCTATAATTTTAGATATTTAGAAATATTCATTTATCACAAGGAAATCATTCATTCATTCCTCAAGGAAATCATTTAATACAGGGCTGGGAATCTGAAATTAGTGGATGGGACCAAAATCACTTAGAAAATGATACAGTAGAGATCTTGCAGCTATACAATAAGTCGCTGGTTAAAATGAACTACAACCGTAACTTATTGTTTTGTTCATATCACCTCAAATATAAAGCTTTCATTTTATTTTTTCCTTCTCTTGCCTAAGAGGAGGTTTTTAATTACTTTGTCATTTTTTTTAATACTACAAGTGGAACTGAGTTTGGATTTCTATATAAGTAGCTATTAATATTAGATTAACTCATATAATAATGAAAATATTAAAAAGGGATTTTTCAGATATATGTAAATGGTAAAAATATTTTGTTCTTTTTTGTATAAATTTAAGGTATACAATGTGATGTGTTAAATACATATATATAGTAAAATGATTACTATAGTCAGATAGATTTACATATCCATCACCTCATATTGTTATCTTCATGTGTGTGGTAAGAGCACTGACAATCTACTCTCTCAGCAAATTTCTATTACGTAATACAATATTATTGCCATAGTACTCATACTGTACATTAGATCTCCAGGCTTATTCATCCTACATAAGAACTTTGTACCATTTGACTTATATTTCCCCCATTCCTTACACCCACCCCAGTAACCACTATTCTGCTCTATTTCTATGTATTCAAATTTTATTGTTTTAGATTTCATATGTAAGTGAGATCATTCAGTATTCTTCTTTCTGTGTCTGGCTTTTTAAACTTTGCATAATTCCTCCGGGTTCATCCACATTGTCACAAATGACAGAATCTCCTTCTTTTATAAGGCTTAATAATATTCCATTATATAAGTTTCTTATCTATTAATTAATCAATGGACACTCAGGTTGATTAAAAGTTGGTTCCTGTAAATAATGCTGCAGTGAACATGGGAGTGCAGATATCTGTATGATATTATTTCATCTGGGCATATACTGAAAAGAGGGGTTGCTAGGTCATATAGTTATTAGACTTTTAATTTTTTTTGAGGAACTTCCATACTATTTTCCATAATGGCTGCACCAGATTACATTCCCACAAAGAGTGTTCAAAGATTCCCTGGACCTTGTCTTATATAACATATAAAAATGAACTCAAAATAGATTGAAAACTTAAACATAAGCTCTGAAACCATAAAACTCCTAGAAGAAAAAAATGTAGAGGAATACCCCCTTGACTATGATTTTTTGGATGTCACAGCAAAAGCTCAGGTATCAAAAGCAAAAATAAACAAGTGGGGCCACATCAGTCTAAAAAGCTTCTGCACAACAAAGGAAACAATCAAGAAAATGAAATGATGGCCTGCAGATTGTGAGAAGATATTTGCCAACCATAAATCTTGTAAGGGATTAATATCCGAAATATATAGGTAACTCATATGAGTCAATCGCAAATAGTTAAATAAACCAATTAAAGAGAGGGCAAAGATCCTGAATAGACATTTCTCTAGAAGACATGAGAATGGCGAATAGATGTATGATAAGGTGCTCAACATCACTGAGTGAAATTCCAATGAAAACCATAATGAGATGGCATCTCACACATGTTAGGATATCAAAAAGATAATCCTTTTGACAATCATATTAAAACATCAAAATACAAAAGCCATACTGTTCTTCATATATTTATAAAGTTAAAATTATTGTAATTTACTTAAATGTAAAGCTGTGTATGTGACCTCTTATCAGTTGATTCCAACTGGTAGTGATGATAGAGGTCACTGGACATATAGCTTATAAAATATTTATTATGAACTCTGTGATGTCCATAGAGAAGAAGAAAATGGTGATTTGGCTTACCAATGCATCCATACATTCACCAGTTCCCTTTAAATCTTTTAATATTTTAATCATTTACATTACTAGCTTTGACATTGAAGAAGTACACCTAAGAAAAATACTATTTTCATATACAAAGGTTAATAATAGAATATGGGCTAGCAGTAGTAAAGAGTTGAAGCTGTGGTTTTATATTAGCAAGTTAAAAGTCATTCATAAAACAAATATGTATTTTGTGTATACATACAGGAAACAGAGTAATTAGATATTTTCTCTAGCTTTTGAAATATTTAATTTTAGTTACACAAAAACATCATTTCTGTTTATGGTGAATTTTTTATTTTCTTACCCATGCTACAGATATCTTTTAGATTTCTTTCTTGTTTTCTTGTGGAGTTTAATTCTGCATGGCTGACTATGCTCAATTTATTCTATAACTCACGCATTTTGAAAATAAATGATATTTTATCACATTATTTTCTAATGAACAAGGGTTGGTTGTGCATTCTGATTTTAGTATTTTATTTCCTTGGGGTCTGAAATAGAACTTCACATTCTCATTTTTGTTTACCTTACATTTGCTACAAATTTATCTCTTGTTTTATACATAAATACATATTTTCCCTCTAGTGCCTGGAGCAACTTTACTAATTGTTTTATCGAGTATATTCTTGTTCATAAATATACTTTAATCAGGCTCAAATATTAAAACCTAATATATAAAAACCAAAAAAATGCTACAATATTTAAAAATGAGATAGAAGTAATTATTTGTAGATTCTCAGAGGAACAGGGAAAAAACAATCACTGCTTCTAAAGATGTGGCTTTGGTCAGTTTACCAAGACATTAGTGGAAAGACCAAATAGTGCTTACGTTTCCTTTTTTTAAAAATTAAACTTCCTTTTTGATAGGTGTGTGATAGTGATGTTTAACTGTGAGACAAATAATTGTAATTTAAATTCCTGTTATATGGATGTGTTTTTTCATATTTTTACTAAAATAAACTTTGCTGTAGAACAGGATCATGGTGCCAGTAGGCACTTTGGAAAATTGTATACTCATCTTTCTCTTTAGACAGGTTTAAGAATTAAACTATCACAGGAGTGAAAAATAATATCTTTACATCTTGACATACATATCTATGAATGTAGTTGTATAATCTATCATCTTGCCCCCAGACTGTAAAATCAGACTTGGCATAAACAATTAAAATAATAAAATCTTATTGTTAAATAAAATTTTAATCTCTCATGGTACAGCCTTAAGACCATTATGTTTTCAGTTGCATGTGTTAATATCTATCAACACATATATTCAAAAATAGTTATTATGTATTGTGACCTGATTCCTTAGTTCTAGGTAACAGAAAATTCAATTTAATATAGATTAAATATCATTTAAATATAGATTAAATAACAACTCACACAGAGTTGAGAATGGTTGGCTCAATGATATTTCTAAAAGTCTGGTTTCTGTTATTCCTTTCCAATATTTCTGTTCTATCTTCTGTGGCGAAAATTTATCTTAGTATTAACACTGGTTTCTCCATGGCTGTAATATGTCTGCCAACAGCTACTGTGGCCATATGCATCCTTATGCATGACCAGAGAGGGCACAAAAATGCTTTCAAAGCAAGAGTCCCAAGATCACTCTGGCTGGACAGACTTAGATCCCTTCTGTTTTTGTTGAAAAACTCAGCCAATCAAGACTGTCCCATGGAGTATGAGATTTATTTTAGCTTTCTTTGAAGATTATGAGCTATGGGACTAAGGTGTTGATACATGAACAAAAATGAGGGTACTCCTTAAGAACAGAATCAAAGAAATGCATACTAGGTCACCAATCAATGAAGGTCACCAATCATCAATTGGAAATCATGGTCATAACATCTCTTTTTCACTTTAACTACCTTCATGGTTATTTTTCTATACTTTGCTATGTTTTTCATCCATTTTTATAAAAACTTCTATGAGACCCTGAAAATGTGATTATTGAGAACTAAATTTGGTGTACATCTCAATAATACTAAAATTTATATTCATATGTGCATTGTCATGCGTTGTAACTTTTAAAATCCCAACTACCCCATAGCCTTTATTTTATCCTGTTCTGTATAAACATATTTTCAAGTTTGTCAAAACTGGATGTGCACTGTCTGTACTGAACTGATCTTTTATTTCTTTTAAGTTTTAATTTTAGTGGGTTCATAGTAGGTGTATATATTCATGGCACATATGAGATATTTTCATTCAGGCATACAATGTGTAATAATCCCATCACAGAAAGTGGGGTATCCATCTTCTCAAGCATTTACCCTATGTGTTAGAAATGATCCAATTATACTCTTTTAGTTATTTTTAAATGTACAATAAATTATTGTTGACTGCAGTTACCCTGCTGTGCTATCCAACTTTAGATCTTATTCATTCTATCTACCTATATTTTTATGCTCATTAACCATCCCCACTCCCCACCCCACTACCCCCTGCACTACCCTTTTCAGCCTCTGGTAACCATCATTCTACTCTCTATCTCCGTAAATAAGTGCTCCTGTAAATAAGTGAGAATATGCAAAGTTTATCTTTCTGTGTCTGGCTTATTTCATTTAACATAATGATCTCCAGCTCCATCCATGTTATTGCAAATGACAGGATCTCATTCTTTTTTATGACTGAATAGTACTCCATTGTCCATATGTACCACACTTTAAAAATCCATTCATCTGTAGATGAACACTTAGTTTGCTTCCAAATCTTGGCTATTGTGAATTGTGCTGCAATAAACATGGGAGTGCAGCTGTCTCTTCGATATACTGATTTCCTTTCCTTTGGGTATATACCTAGCAGTGGGATTTCTGGATCATCTGGTAGTTCTATTTTAGTTTTTTGAGGAACCTCCAAATTGTTTTCCATAGTGGTTGTACTGATAAATACATTCCCACCAACAGTGTATAATACAAGGGTTGCCTTTCCTCCACGTCCTCACTGGCATTTGTAATAATATTGCCTATATTTTGTAATTTTGATTTGCATTTCTCTGATGATCAATGCTATGAGCACCTTTTCATAGACCTACTTGCCATTATCATTTTTCTCAAGAATTTTTTAAATTTCCTTCTTAATTTCTTCACTGACTCACTAGTCATTCACGAGCATTTTGTTTAAGTTCCATGTATTTGTGTAGTTTCCAAAATTCCCCTCATTATTGACTTGTATGGTCTTGGATAATATGCAGAAGAATTCTCAGGATCTCTTCCCCTACTTTCTCCCAAACAAACGCAGTCTCTCTCTCTCTGCTCTGAGCTGCCTGGAGCTGGGGGAGGGGGTGACACAAGCACCTCTGTGGCCACCAACACTGGGATAGCACTGGGTCAGACCTGAAGCCAGCACAGCACTGGATCTCACTCAAGGCCCACAGTAACCACTGCCTGGCTACCTTGTATGTTTGCTAAAGGCCTTAGGGGTCTACAATCAGCAGGTGACAAAGCCAGCCAGGCTTGTGTCGTTTGCTTCAGGGTGGCAAATTCCCTCCTGGTCCCGAGGTACTCTCTTCTGCTGTGGCTGAGCTGGCACAGAAGGCACAAGACAAAGTCCTTCCCACCCTTTCCTCCCCTTTCCACAACCAGTGGACTCTCTCCCCATGGCCACCACTGCCCCAGGCTCACAGTGAGTACTGCCTGGCTACAGCCAATGTTCATTCGAGGCCCCAGGGCCCTTGAGTCATCAACTTGTGGTGAGTGCTGCCAGGCCTGGGACTCTCCCTTCAGGGCAGCGGTCTCCCCTCTGGTCCAGTACAGGTCAAGAAACACCGTCCAAGAGCCAAGGCCTGGAATCGGGCTCTCAGGAGCCTGCTTGGTGCTCTACCCAACTGTGGCTGAGCTGCTACCTAAGCTGATTTTTGGTTCTTATGATGTTTGCTTTGTTGTGTGGATAGTTGTTCGGTCTGGTGTTCTTGCAGGGAGGACAATTGGTGGAGGCTTCTATTCAGCCACCTGGCTCTGCCTCCATCCCTGATCCTTTCTTTTTAAACTTTAATGATTGGTTTCTATAGGAACAACTAAATTTACTCAGCCTTATTTCTGAGGAACTGCTGACTATAATCCTTCTCTCTCACATTTTAAAAACTGACAAAATTGTTAAACTGCGTTGCCTAGAACATTCCTAAGAGTATTAAATACTGTCATTAGGTATGTTAGGTTGATATTATCTTATTAGAAATAAGAATGACATACAGCCAAAACACAAAATTTTATCTTTAGAGAATAACCATTCACATTTAGTCACATTTTTAAGCTTGGGGGAAAAAAAGTGACTTAATATTTGTTTATATGTTGCTACAGCGTTAGAAATTCAACTTTTTAAAACTTCTGTTATAATGTTGAAAGATAGTCCTAGAGGTGTAAATCAAATTTTGATTAAATGTCTTCTGAAATTTCATGATTTTCTTTTCATTTTGAATTATGAATACTTAGATTGTGTGCTGTTGACCTTTAGAATGTTAGGAGACAAGCCAGAAATTAAACCCAAAGTAACACCAAGCACTGGAAAAGCATCAAAGTTAAAAAAGTAATAAAAATACGGTTATTAAAGGGAATAAAATTATATAAATGGAAACTGATTTAAAAAGAAAAGGAGAGTTTATCTCTCAGGGTTCTACAGTTCTCCAGAGAAACAGAACCAGAAGGATGTGTGTGTGTGTGTGTGTGTGTGTGTGTGTGTGTGTGTGTGTTTGTGTGTATAATAGATAGATGGGTAAGTAGATTTATTTTGAGGAATTGGCTTATGTGATTTTGAGTGCTGGCAAGTCTAAAATGTGTAGGGCAAAGAGGCTGGAAATTCAGGGAGGATTTCTGTGTTAGACTCTTGAGGCTCCTCTTCTCAGGGAAATCAGTTTTTGCTCTTAAGGCTTTCAATTCACTGGATGAGACCCAACTCTATTATCAAGGGTCATCTTTTTTACTTAAAGTCAACTGATTGTAGATGTTAATCACATCGACAAAATATGTTCACAGCAATATCTATACTAGCATTTGACCAAGAAGTTGGGCACCGTAGCCTAGTCAAATTGACGTGTAAAATTTAACTATCTCAGAGAACCAGAAAAAATATAAACACAAACTGTTTTATTTACCAAAGAACCTATTTCAGAGAAAATAGATTGAACATTATTTCCAATGT
Organism: Homo sapiens; assembly: GCF_000001405.40. Lineage (NCBI taxonomy): Eukaryota > Metazoa > Chordata > Mammalia > Primates > Hominidae > Homo > Homo sapiens. Next base: position 84,217,272 of record NC_000005.10, on the reverse strand, counting down.
TTAATCATAATTAATGTTGGCCCCTATCTGTGCAGACTTAGAGGTTTCTTTAATTTCTAATCCTCCCTGCATTAGCTGGATTCATCTTTAAGACCATCTCCATTTGCCTGAGTCATTTTTTTTTTTTTTTTTGGCTGTCCTTGGATTTACTCCAATGTTAAATATTATAAGAGTATGAAGAGGTATTTACTTACTGTTGTGGAGATTTCCTGGCTCAGGGAAGGCATTCAACTTTCTGGATAGGATGGATAAGATAAAATGCCATGGGCCTTCAGGTCTGAACTTCAGGGGCTTTTGTCTTGCGATAACTAGCTGTCTACTGCCTATGAAGTATTTTCTTTCTACAAGTTAACTTTTCCTCCTCTGTGAAATGGGACAATAAGGGCACCTACCTTAGAGGTATGCTGTAAAGATCGCACTCAACAATACATGTAAAGGGCTCACCACAATGTTGCTCATCCTGTAATAGGGACTGCACAGGAAATCTAAGCTGCTATTTTTACTTTCATTATTCTCTTTGCTGTTTGCCATATTAATATTGTGATTTCGATTATGATTTTTTTATTCAGTCAATATGCAGAGGCCTCTATGTAGAGTATTTTGCTTAATTTTCACAATTAACAAATACTGCCAAATGCTGCATATACATAATTTAAAGAGGAGAACACTAAATGTTAAAGTATATGAAGAAATGTGTACAAGGTTACATAATAAGCAAGTAACAGAATCAGGATTCAAGTTCAAGCTTCTCTGGAAAAACTTGTGCTTATCTTACAGCAGCAAACTCAGCCTTTTTATTCACTTATAAACAGTTTTAAATGTCATATATTTTTTGGAATTGTAAAAGTCATATAGAGTTATTCAACTTTTTTGTTATGCATATATTATAAAATTGTACATTCTAATATGTGTAAAACTTTATATATTATTTTAAATGCCTCTCTGATCACTACAGTAGTTTATGAATCACATAAACATTGTGGAAAAGAATAGAATCGGAAATGAAAATCTCCCTGACTGCCTTCATCCATTTTACATACTTGCATTAAAAATATATATTCTTCCTTAATCTAGCTCCTCTTACAGGCTTCCTGTCAATGGCTCAAACCAAAATCATTAAGGTCTATGTTGATGACACCCATCTCTACATTTAGTCCACCAGGTCTTTTTAGCTTCATTTAAAAAATATATCCAAACTGTAATCAGACAGTCCAAGGCAGCATCTTCTCACTCATGGATTTGCTGGTACTCCAGGCCCCTCTTCAGTCTCTTCTCAAAAGAGCCGGCAGCCTAATTCTTTTACAAGGCTGTGAGTGCCCATCACTCTTCTGCCCAGGCCCTCTAGTACCTCTCATCTGGCCCTACATTAAAATTAGGATAGAAACTTTATATATTTTGCAACTTCCACCATTGCCCTTCTGGCTTCAGTTTCTACTGCTGCCACCCTGTCCTTCCTTTTCTATAAAGCAAACACAAACATAAACCCTGGACACATTGTTCTTACAGGCAGGGCTTGGCACTCACAGGTGGATTGCCTGAAGGACTTCCCTTGCATGTGTCTGCATGACTACTCAGTCACATCCTTCATGTCTTCACATGAAGGTGCATTCTCAGAGAGGCCTTCCTTTGTCTCTAAAAAGTTCACACATTCTCCACTTTGTCAGTCTTTTGCCTGCGTATTTTTAATATTATTAATTTTTTTAAAAATATCTGCCCATCTTAACTGGGCGTGGTGGCTCACGCCTGTAATCCCAGCACTTTGGGAGGCCCAGGAGGGCGGATCACGAGGTCAGGAGATCGAGACCATCCTGGCTAACACAGTGAAGCCCCATCTCTACTAAAATACAAAAAATTAGCCAGGTGTGGTGGCGGGCGCCTGTAGTCCCAGCTACTCGGGAGGCTGAGGCAGGAGAATGGCCTGAACCCGGGAGGTGGATCTTGCAATGAGCCGAGATTGTGCCACTGCACTCCAGCCTGGGCGACAGAGCAAAACTCCGTCTCAAGAAAAAAAAAAATCTGCTCATCTTACTTATGTAGCTTATTTATTTCTGTCCAGGCTAAATATAAACTCCTAAGGGCTGGCATATTTTTTGTCTATTTTGTTCTCGACTGAATCCCCTCCTTCTAGAACAAGTGTTTGATACATAGTAGATGCTTCATAAATATTTGTTGTATGATCAAATTAATGAATATATTAAGCCATACAGATTTTATGCTGACTTTATTGCATTATTAATTCAAGAACACACATAGGGCCGGGTGCGGTGGCTCACGCCTATAATCCTGGCATTTTGGGAGGCCACGGTGGGCAGATTGCCTGAACTCAAGAAGTTCGAGACCACCCTGGGCAGCACAGTGAAACTCCATCTCTACTAAAACACAAAAAATTGGCCAGGTGTGGCAGCATGCGCCTGTAGTCCCAGCTACTCGGGAGGCTGAAGCAGGAAAATTGCTTGAACCCAGGAGGTGGAGGTTGCAGTGAAGCCGAAATTGCACCACTGCACTCCAGCCTGGGTGACATAGCAAGACTCTGTCTCTAAAAAAAAAAACAAACCACACTTAGTTCTTCCTTATAGGATGATACAAAGAGAGGGGTGATGATAGATGTATTTCCAAATAGAAGAAATAAATAAATAAAAGGAGAATCTCAATAATTTGATAAGAATATTAAAGATGCTGTAAATTACAGGCAACTCTCCTTGTCCACAGGTTTCACATCTAGGTATTCAAGCAACCAGATATTGAAAATATTTGAACAAGAAAGACAATAAAGTAATACAAAATATTAATAAGAAACAATAGAGTATAACAACTGTTTACATTGTATTCTGTATTAGAAGTAACCTAGAGATGATGTAAAGTGGCGGGGGGCGGGGGTTATACATAGGTTGTATGCAAATATCATGCCATTTTATATAAGATACTGGAACATCTGAGGATTTTTATCTCCCTGAGGGTTCCTGGAATCCATCCCCCACAAATACTGAGGGACAGTTGTATTATTTAAATTCCTTGGCAGAAAAAAATCCATTACATTGATCTTTGTTTTTCTGTTTTTGTTGCAGTAGAAGAAAATTACTTTTGCTTAGTAATTCTTTCAGTGTGGTGTTGTAACAGTGGCAATGATTTAGCCATTGTTAGTAATAACTGGTAGGAAACCACAGCAGTGATTTTAAGACATCTCAAATATGATAACCACCATCATCTAATGCTGGGTATGGGTAAAAGACTCGGAGAGGTTAAGGGAGGCAGTGGCTCAGAGGACAGCACTGGTCATGTAGGGGGAAGGGGCAAGCCTGCAAATCCACTTGGCTTCCTAAGTTTGAGGTCCACAAGGAATTAGGAAAGGACCTGCAATTTCTTTATGCAATAACTACCTCATTATTGCATTGTTATTCATGTCTCATTAAGCTCACAGACATCTTCAAGTAATTTATTTTCAAGATTACGTGGACAGAATTTTTTAAACCTTTAAGTAACATACTTAAAAATAAAATAAAACATACCTGGGTATAGTGTTCTTGTGAGATACCTTTTTTTAAGAAAATATATTTATTTGAAGCAGATCTTCAACTGCTAGAATTCAACAAGATTTAGATATGTTTCATATCTACTCACCTGTTTTTTCTTTCTCTAGACATAAATCTAAATAAGAAAATATCTAGAGTTTTAATCCAATATTTAAAATGTTACAACATTATTGGTTGCTTTTAAAGCTTTACTAGAAGCTCTTGAAAAAGAATGAGCTATACATTTCTCAATAGTAAAAACGAAGAATTAAAACCACTGTACAGATTGGCCATGGTTTTTGTCAAAGCTTGAGATGTTCTTTAAAGGACAGCTTAAGACTGAGGACCTTTGAAACTATTTCATTTCATAATTTAGTGTTTAAGTGTGTTGGGAGGAATTGTGCAAGTACTCAGCTACCAAGAAAAACAAAACTAAAATAAGACAAATTAGAAACAGAATGGTTAGGGATTTTTTTTTCCAGAAACATTTTAGCATTCTGCATCTTTGCCTATCTTAACACAATAAGTTAGTTATACTAAGTCTTATTTATAAGATCGTCAAAAAAAAAAAACCACTGAAAATACTGATCAATGTTAAGTTCCTACAGAGTGATAATCACCAGTCTGATATTCTGTAGCCAGAATGCTCAAGCAAGTTGTCGTACTTTTAAAATTTCTGAGAATTTATAGAGCTGTTAGAAGAGGAAGATTAGCATATTTTTAAGTTACTTGAATTTTCAGACTGTGATTTTTTTTTTTTTTTTTTAGTCTTCTCTGTTTGTTTCACCAAATGACTCTAGTGCTCTCTGACTCTTTGGTGGGTAGTGGTAGGTTAAGAGTTAAAACTATTAATTCACACTTAGTTGTATTCTTATTCTGGAAATGAGAGAACCAATGAAAACTGGTCCCGTAAGACATTCTTTCCTTTCCCTCCATGAAACCTGTGCCTGGGTTTAATATCCCATCACATCCATGCTTCTTCTCTCTAGGAGGCAGGGCGGTCTTCTCTATTCCAGGTCACACATGTTGTGCTTATTCTCACCCCAAAGCTTTAATCCAGGCTTGTCTGTCTAGAGTACGCTTTCCTTTCCCTTTCAGATCTCCAAAATGTATCCAGCCTTTTACACACCTCTGGTCTTAGATCTTGTGTTTCCTGTAACCCGTATTGATTTCTCACTTTGCAATTCTCACTTGTGTATCTGTTAGGAATGTTTTTCTGTGGTAGGTAACTGAGAAGTGACTGGGAAGGATTCCATTCTCTGTGAGATCCCAGAATCTCCACGAATTTCTTCCAAGTAAATCATGTTTCTGTGAGTATGAAAGAAGGAATAGAACAGAGGTTGGAGAAGCAGTAATTTCTATCCCTAAAGGGATTTGAATTCCTTTAGTATGTACTGGATGCAATTGGAATGGTTTCTTCACCGGTAATAGGAACTCATTCTCAACTGGACTCATCCTTCTCTCCACTTTTATCTGTGTCTTTTCTCCTGTTTCTTAGAAGGACACTTGTTATGGGATTTAGGGCCCATCTGGGTAATCTAGGATGATCCCATCTCAAGATCCTTTCCTTAGTTCATTTGTGTTGCATTTCCAGCAATGCTGAAGACAGAATGAGGGATCAATACCTGTATAGTATCAGTAGATAAATACCCATAAAAATAACATCATGCTCTTTGGGATCATACAGCAATAGAGAGCAAGAGAGCAAAGTGGGGGTGGAGAGAGAGAGAGGAAGGGAGAGAGAGAACGCAATCAAAACAGCACAGCAGTTTCAATTATACAAAATATGGAAACTATGTTGTAGGATCCTTATGTAGGCACCATACCCTCTTGGATTTGTGCAAATTGCAGTCATGTCAGTCACATTTCCTGATTTATATCATCCTCTAATCACTTTGACTGTCTACAGCTATATTCGTTTCCTGAGGCTGCTCTAACAAGTTTCCACAACCTCTGTGGCTTAAAACAACACTCTTTTAATTCTCACAGTTCTGGAGGCTAGAAGTCTGAAGTCAAGGCATAATCCAGGCCATGCTCTCTCTGAGGGTTCTAGAAGAGAATTTTTCCTTGTCTCTTTCAGTTTGTGTTGGCTGTGGGCATCCCTTGACTTCATTGACTTGTGACCACTTCACTGCAATTTCTGCCTCCGTCTTCACATCACCTGCTCCGCTTTTGTCTGTGTCTTTTCTCCTGTTTCTTAGAAGGACACTTGTTATGGGATTTAGGGCCCATCTGGGTAATCTAGGATGATCCCATCTCAAGATCCTTTCCATAGTTCATTTGTGTTGCTGTAAAGAAATACCTGAAGCTGGATAATTTATAAAGAGGTTTATTTGGCTCATAGTTCTGCAGGTTGTACAAGAAGCATAGTGCTGGCATCTGCATCTGGTAAGAGCCTCAGACTGCTTCCAGTTATGGTGACAGGCAGAGAGGAGCAGACATTACAGGGCGAGAAAGGAGAAGAGAGAGAGGAGGTGCTAGTCTCTTTTCAACAACCAGTTATCCCGGATACTAATAGTGAGGACTCACTCCTGCACACCAAGCTGTTCATGAGGGATCTGCTTCCACATCCCAGACACCTTCCACCAGGCCTCACCTCAACACTGGGAATCAATTTTAACATGAGACTTGGCATGGCCGAATAAACCATATCTAAACCATAGAAGTCCTTAAATTAAGTACATCTGTAATGAGACTTTTTCAAATAATGTAATATTCACAGGTTCCAGGGATTTGGACATGAATATATTTTGGTTGGGGGGCGGGGTGGCGGAGCACCATTCAACCTACTACAATAGTGACAGTAGATGTACTAAATAAATGTGCAATGAATTAGTTTGGCTCTTCCAAAAAAATTGTAACTAAATAAACATATTGTGTAATGAAATATTCATAAGGATGGTGGAATATTTACTTTTGCAGCTCTCATATTTTGCATTTCTGGATTAAAAAGTGGTTATAAAATATAATGATGAAATCATAGTCTATTCGATGAAAAAGGATAGATACCATACATACAGCCTGTAGATATTTTCAAAACCTCAGCCAATACAGTTCAGTAAACATGTAACTAACTTTGATTTCAGTGGTAACTCTGTGTGTTCTAAGAAGTGAGTTATGGGTAAAAATTTAGGCAGGAACTATAATTTATATTACTTTAAACTTATATATGCTTATATGTTTTTTTTTAATTCTGGAGAGAGAAAAACAGATAAGCAATATTTTAAGCATATTATAAAGTCATTCCTTTTTATTTTAAAGAAGCAAAAGTTATATTCACAAATTCATTCTTAAATATTTTAACATAGTTTTATAATTACTTGATGTTATACAGTTTGTCCAACTTTAATTCTAGATTTATTTATTTATAAAAGCAATAAAATATATAGAGCATGAGATTACAAAAAACTAAAATACACATATTTTATCCAGTCAGTTTAGTTAGAGTAACACATCATTGCAAAACGTAAAATTAAACCTTATTTATTTTCATTTCAGTATTATCAGTTATTAGCTGATAAAATCGACTTGTTTTGGATTATCTGTTTTGAATGAAAAACAAATATTTACTATAGTAGATTAAAACAATGCTTTGTCCAAATTCATTTTAGCAATTTGGAAGCCAAAGTTTAATTTTGTTTTGAACACATGAACTTTTAAACTATTACTATTTAAATTTTTGTTTTAATGCTAATTTTAACCTGTAAAACTTGTTGTTAAGTGAATATACTTTTTATACTTTGAAAACTTTCTTTAAAAAGGATAGTGATAAAGGGTAAATTAGAATGTGCTTTGACACAAGTCTAAGCTCTTTCCAGATTCAGGTAACAAGAGCCAAGTGTCTCAGTGTGATATAGAAATGACCCCTGGGAAATCATCATGTTTAGTAACTTAATGGATAGAACAGAAAATGCCAGTAGATTGCTATGAAAAATATGTCAAGAAAACATTTTTACAGAATTTCTTTCATTTTATTTACCAGTGAACTAGACACTCAATAAATTCGTGTGTCTCTGTTGCTCAGTGTTACCGCACTGCCAACTTTTCTACCCCATTATTGATATAAGTTGAGAATAGCCTTACTGTTCACCATCTGTCGTGAAAGAGTCAAGTTTTTCTTTTTTTTTTAATAAGTTTAGTTAATCCTTTATTTTTTCATTTAGCAGCTACATAGGCATAGTGTACTGTACAAAACCAGGATATACAGCAGAAACCAAGGCAAACACAGCCCTTCCATTATGGAGCTCACATCTTGTGGGATGGAGAAGGAAGGTATTAAATAATTAAGTATACATTTATTCATTCTTTCTTTTTTTAGTTATCAAGCAATATCTTTATTCAAACAGTAGTAGTGCAACCTAAACATTTGTAGAACTCTTTTTTTTATTATTATACTTTAAGTTTTAGGGTACATGTGCACCATGTACAGGTTAGTTACATATGTATACATGTGCCATGCTGGTGTGCTGCACCCATTAACTCGTCATTTAGCATTAGGTGTATCGCCTAATGCTATCCCTCCCCTCTCCCCCCACCCCACAACAGTCCCCAGAGTGTGATGTTCCCCTTCCTGTGTCCATGTGTTCTCATTGTTCAATTCCCATCTATGAGTGAGAACATGCGGTGTTTGGTTTTTTGTCCTTGCGATAGTTTACTGAGAATGATGATTTCCAATTTCATCCATGTCCCTACAAAGGACATGAGCTCATCATTTTTTATGGCTGCATAGTATTCCAAGGTGTATATGTGCCACATTTTCTTAATCCAGTCTATCATTGTTGGATATTTGCGTTGGTTCCAAGTCTTTGCTATTGTGAATAATGCCGCAATAAACATAGATGTGCATGTGTCTTTATAGCAGCATGATTTATAGTCCTTTGGGTATATACCCAGTAATGGGATGGCTGGGTCAAATGGTATTTCTAGTTCTAGATCCCTGAGGAATCGCCACACTGACTTCCACAATGGTTGAACTAGTTTACAGTCCCACCAACAGTGTAAAAGTGTTCCTATTTCTCCACATCCTCTCTAGCACCTGTTGTTTCCTGACTTTTTTTTTTTTTTTTTTTTTTTTTTTTGAGACGGAGTCTCGCTCTGTTGCCCAGGCCGGACTGCGGACTGCAGTGGCGCAATCTCGGCTCACTGCAAGCTCCGCTTCCCGGGTTCACGCCATTCTCCTGCCTCAGCCTCCCGAGTAGCTGGGACTACAGGCGCCCACCACCGCGCCCGGCTAATTTTTTGTATTTTTGGTAGAGACGGGGTTTCACCTTGTTAGCCAGGATGGTCTCGATCTCCTGACCTCATGATCCACCCGCCTCGGCCTCCCAAAGTGCTGGGATTACAGGCGTGAGCCACCGCGCCTGGCCTGTTTCCTGACTTTTTAATGATCGCCATTGTAACTGGTGTGAGATGGTATCTCATTGTGGTTTTGATTTGCATTTCTCTGATGGCCAGGGATGATGAGCATTTTTTCATGTGTCTTTTGGCTGCATAAATGTCTTCTTTTGAGAAGTGTCTGTTCATGTCCTTTGCCCACTTTTTGATGGGGTTGTTTGTTTTCTTCTTGTAAATTTGTTTGAGTTCATTGTAGATTCTGGATATTAGCCCTCTGTCAGATGAGTAGGTTGCGAAAATTTTCTCCCATTTTGTAGGTTGCCTGTTCACTCTGATGGTAGTTTCTTTTGCTGTGCAGAAGCTCTTTAGTTTAATTAGATCCCATTTGTCAATTTTGGCTTTTGTTGCCATTGCTTTTGGTGTTTTAGACATGAAGTCCTTGCCCATGCCTATGTCCTGAATGGTAATGCCTAGGTTTTCTTCTCGGGTTTTTATGGTTTTAGGTCTAACGTTTAAGTGTTTAATCCATCTTGAATTAATTTTTGTATAAGGTGTAAGGAAGGGATCCAGTTTCAGCTTTCTACATATGGCTAGCCAGTTTTCCCAGCACCATTTATTAAATAGGGAATCCTTTCCCCATTGCTTGTTTTTTTCAGGTTTGTCAAAGATCAGATAGTTGTAGATATGCGGCATTATTTCTGAGGGCTCTGTTCTGTTCCATTGATCTAGATCTCTGTTTTGGTACCAGTACCATGCTGTTTTGGTTACTGTAGCCTTGTAGTATAGTTTGAAGTCAGGTAGTGTGATGCCTCCAGCTTTGTTCTTTTGGCTTAGGATTGACTTGGCGATGCGGGCTCTTTTTTGGTTCCATATGAACTTTAAAGTAGTTTTTTCCAATTCTGTGAGGAAAGTCATTGGTAGCTTGATGGGGATGGCATTGAATCTATAAATTGCCTTGGGCAGTATGACCATTTTCACGATATTGATTCTTCCTACCCATGAGCATGGAATTTTCTTCCATTTGTTTGTATCCTCTTTTATTTCAATGAGCAGTGGTTTGTAGTTCTCCTTGAAGAGGTCCTTCACGTCCCTTGTAAGTTGGATTCCTAAGTATTTTATTCTCTTTGAAGTAATTGTGAATGGGAGTTCACTCATCATTTGGCTCTCTGTTTGTCTGTTATTGGTGTATAAGAATGCTTGTGATTTTTGTACTTTGATTTTGTATTCTGAGACTTTGCTGAAGTTGCTTCTCAGCTTAAGGAGATTTTGGGCTGAGACAGTGGGGTTTTCTGGATATACAATCATGTCATCTGCAAACAGGGACAATTTGACTCCCTCTTTTCCTAATTGAATACACTTTATTTCCTTCTCCTGCCTAATTGCCCTGGCCAGAACTTCCAACACTATGTTGAATAGGAGTGGTGAGAGAGGGCATCCCTGTCTTGTGCCAGTTTTCAAAGGGAAGGCTTCCAGTTTTTGCCCATTCAGTATGATATTGACTGTGGGTTTGTCATAGATAGCTCTTATTATTTGAGATATGTCCCATCAATACCTAATTTATTGAGAGTTTTTAGCGTGAAGAGTTATTGAATTTTGTCAAAGGCCTTTTCTGCATCTATTGAGATAATCATGTGGTTTTTGTCTTTGGTTCTGTTTATATGCTGGATTACATTTATTGATTTGTGTATATTGAACCAGTCTTGCATCCCAGGGATGAAGCCCACTTGATCATGGTGGATAAACTTTTTGATGTGCTGCTGGATTCGGTTTGCCAGTATTTTATTGAAGATTTTTGCATCAATGTTCATCAAGGATATTGGTCTAAAATTCTCTTTTTTGTTTGTGTCTCTGCCTGGCTTTGGTATCAGGATGATGCTGGCCTCATAAAATGAGTTAGGGAGGATTCCCTCTTTTTCTATTGATTGGAATAGTTTCAGAAGGAATGGTACCAGTTCCTCCTTAAGGATACCCAGGAATTGAACTCAGCTCTGCACCAAGTGGACCTAATAGACATCTACAGAACTCTCCACCCCAAATCAACAGAATATACATTTTTTTCAGCACCACACCACACCTATTCCAAAATTGACCACATACTTGGAAGTAAAGCTCTCCTCAGCAAATGTAAAAGAACAGAAATTATAACAAACTGTCTCTCAGACCACAGTGCACTCAAACTAGAACTCAGGATTAAGAAACTCACTCAAAACCACTCAACTACATGGAAACTGAACAACCTGCTCCTGAATGACTACTGGGTACCTAACGAAATGAAGGCAGAAATAAAGATGTTCTTTGAAACCAACGAGAACAAAGACACAACATACCAGAATCTCTGGGACACATTCAAAGCAGTGTGTAGAGGGAAATTTATAGCACTAAATGCCCACAAGAGAAAGCAGGAAAGATCCAAAATTGACACCCTAACATCACAATTACAAGAGCTAGAAAAGCAAGAGCAAACACATTCAAAAGCTAGCAGAAGGCAAGAAATAACTAAAATCAGAGCAGAACTGAAGGAAATAGAGACACAAAAAACCCTTCAAAAAATTAATGAATCCAGGAGCTGGTTTTTTGAAAGGATCAACAAAATTGATAGACCGCTAGCAAGACTAATAAAGAAAAAAAGAGAGAAGAATCAAATTGACGCAATAAAAAATGATAAAGGTGATATCACCACCGATCCCACAGAAATACAAACTACCATCAGAGAATACTACAAACACCTCTACGCAAATAAACTAGAAAATCTAGAAGAAATGGATAAATTCCTTGACACATACACTCTCCCAAGACTAAACCAGGAAGAAGTTGAATCTCTGAATAGACCAATAACAGGATCTGAAATTGTGGCAATAATCAATAGTTTACCAACCAAAAAGAGTCCAGGACCAGATGGATTCACAGCAAAAGAGTCAAGTTTTTCAAGTGGACACAGCTCACTTACATGATTTTAAATATTTTGGCTATTGCACATTTCATATTACTTCTGTCACGGAGATAAAGAGTCTTTCACAATGACACATCTGACTTCATTGTTTTTCTGGCTTATCACATGACTGTCCATCATTATTTTTATTTGTTATTTGAATGCTTCTAGTTTATTTAATGTATTTTAGGGGTGTCTAAAATCCACACAAAAAATGTGGAACATATATAGGTACAAACATATAGGTATATATATATATGTTATTAGAAAGTTACTATTTATTTTAGCCTGGCATGGTGGCTAACACCTGTAATCCCAACCCTTTTGGATGCCTAGGCGGGAGGATCAGTTGGGCCCAGGATTTTGAGACTAGCCTGGGCAACAAGGTGAGACCCTATCTCTACAAAAAAAAAAAAAAAATCTTCCAGGGCATGGTGGCATGTGCCTGTAGTCCCAGCTACATGGGAGGCTGAAGCTGGAGGATTGCTTGTGCCCGGGAGATCAAAGCTATGGTGAGCTGTGATTGCGTCACTGCACTCCAGCCTGGGCAACAGAGCAAGACTCTGTCTCAGAAACACACACAAAAGCGTTACTATTTTACGTATCAAGGCTGCTTACAGGAAACATTACATTTAAAAATTATAAAAAAGCAGCATTTCGTTTTTAGGTCATGTGGCCTTTTTTTTTTTTTTTTTTAAATATTGGCCTTGGGCCAATTAACTTATGCTTGTAAAGGGGCATAATAGAAAGAAAATTTTAAGAACTATTTTGAGATCACTAATATGTTACTTCAACGTGGAGCAGAAGACTTTGAAGGATACTGACATTGCAGTCATAAGGAGCCTGCTGAATTTCTGAGTTAATTGGAACTCAAGCAGAGAAGGGATGGGCAGGTTGTATGTATACCTAGATATGGAAAATAATTGGATAGTGCCTAAGAATGGGCGTTTGATAGGCATGAAAACTTTAAAATACAATTTTTAAAAAATGAAATAAATTTTTATTTAAATAAAGAACAGGTTGGATATCAATGACATGGAACTATATTATAAAATGTTAATTATCTTGATGGCAGAAATTCAGTTTTATTTTTAATCTACATTTGATGAGAATAAAGGAAAAGTAAATAACATCTGTGCTAATTATAATCAGAGTAGACAATGTTCAAAATATTTTAATTTTAAAATTGGCTGTGTCCTATATTGTTAGTTTTGAGGGTATGCAGTGGACATTATTCCCTGAAGTATATGAAAGTAAATTTGACTAACAGGGTTATATAAATGCATAGTTTTTGCTTGGAAACTGATAACAACTTTCTAATGAAAAAATTGAATTAATTCTTATTATGTTGGTTAAGTTTATTCACTAAATGACCATTAAATGTTGTAAACATTCTTCACTTAGGTGAAGTTGTATTTGAAGTTTTGCTTTCACTAGTTTTTTAAGAATAAAAGTAATACAAGTACAAAACAACAAAAGCGGAGACCCCTGTTGGACAAACAGGTAAATCAAAAGCTGTTTTCTAATAATAGAATCAGTATCTGCAAGAACCGTTGATCACTTCTAAGGATTGGCAAAAACATATAGTATTCCAAGTATTTTTTTAAAAAATGTTTCTACAGATGTGATATACGCCTTCCTTACCCTCTTCGGATATAGTTAATAGAAAAAGTGCAAATGTTTTCTCTTAAGTAATATAGTAATTTTTCCTTAGAGGAATGTTGACATTTTCTAAAAGTAAAGAGTATTGTCTTATTATGAGTCTAAAAATGAGATAAGCCCTTGACCTAAAGTTCTTAACTGCCACTTGTGCGAGTACAGTGCTTCCATTATATTATAGATTTTATAATAGTCACTCAGTTATGTGACCTTTCAATTAAATTATTGGAGCTGATTCTAATTCAGGATTTCCCTGAAGATCACTTGAATATTCATCCAATTCAGAGGTTCCCATGCATCTCATTAAACATTATGACCCATCAGGAACGTGTGTTGCTGGCACACCAACATCAGCCCTGAGATTCAGATTCCTTTTGAGAGCAATTTATGGGATTAATTTACCTGTATGACTTAGTCCTGTTAAGGGGTTCATTCAACATCAGTTGGGTCATCTTTGCTGGAGACTTTTTTTATCTGAAGAAATTTAAAAAGTATTCCTAATGATACTTAATTCTTATTTTAATTTAGGCAAACATGAGGTGTAGTGCTCATAAAATGCCTCATCTTTGAGATTTGTTCAGTTTGACAGCCTACAGAATATCAGTATATTAAAAACGAAGTAATTTTCAGCTTTTGCCTCTCAAGTTATCTATTTGGAAGCAAAATTCAATAGTTTGAAGATGATAAATCTAGTTAGTTTTCTCTGGAGCATTCGACATGAACAACAATCCATTACTTCTTGATATTTTCCCTGTTGGCCTCAGTGGCACCTATTCTCTGTCACTTGGTTGTAAAAGTGTCTGTTCCTATTTAGTGTCCTGTTTCTTTTGCCTGCCCCCTGAATATAGTCTTTCCAGTCTCCTTGCCTGTTTCCTCTATAATATCTCTCAGGCTTTATTTGTTCCTTTATGGATAGTACTGCCAAATCTGGGTAGCTTAATCTCTTAGAGTGCCTCATTTCTTCCAGTGGAATGGTAAAATTACAATCATTATAGGAGATATTATATTTAAAAGACTTAGAAGAATTACCAGTTCATAGTACGTGTGAGACTGCTTTCTCTTCTCTGTCTTCTCTATATCCCTGACTTCTCTTTTGAATTTCAGACTTTCATTTTCAGCCATCAGCTAGATACATCTAATGGCCTCAGGGCAAAAATAAATATTCTCAACTTTTCCCCTCTGCTCTCAAATATTCCCTCTCTAAATAAATGGCATTACAATTTATCTGCCAGGTATAAAACATCCAAGCCACCTTTATTTCCACTCTTTTCTTTAGCGTTACCTTCTACACCCATTTGTTTCTTGTCTGCAATATTATCAGGTCCACTCCCTGCTATGTACTCCTCACTGATATCCTATAGTACTAAAATTCTTTGTTTGCACAAACTTTGCTTAGCTCTTTTTAGTTTAAAAAGATGTTATGAAATGAATACATCACACTCCTATTAACCTTTTCTTGCTGAGTCAGTCAAGATGAACTTGTTTATGGCTCAGGAGAAAGCTCATCCAGAAGTTCTTGGAGTATATATCCAGTGTGAGTCAGTAGGGGCTCTCTGCTCATTGTAGATACCCAGGGTCTCGGGCTGACAAGGCTACATCTCAGCAGTTTCTCCCACAGTCACTAAAGCAGTGGGAAGAAAACATGATAAATTACAAACTGGCTCTTAAAATGTATGTAAGAAATGGCACATATTACTTCTTGCATTATTGGCCAAAGAAATTCACATAGACACTTATAACTTGAAAAGGGATGGAGAAGTGCAGTCCTACCATGTGTATTTAAGAACTGGAATATTTGTGAAGTCTTAATGACTAGACTAGCACACTGTTTTTCTTGCGTATGTTGACCTTCCCTTTTCTAAAACTCTTTACAACACAATTTTTTATTTTAATTCTATTTTTAAAATCTATGTACTTCTTCTAATGCCTGTCATTGTCTACATACCACGTTACTTAATCATAGCATGAAGTGCACTCTCTCTTTTTGCATTGAATAGAATTTCATGTGGATTTTGGCATGTAACTGATTATTTCACCTTTCAAAATATAGTTGGCAATATACTATTCTATTTCGCAGTTATGTTGTAGATGGCTTAACCATTCTTTAACTTCTGGGAATTTGGAACCTTTCAAGTTTTACTCTTAGTTTATACAACATTTATAGAAAGGACTATAAAGAGTTGCAATAATTCAAAAGATTAGACTGGCAAATCAGCCTTGCACAAATAAGAGATCTTACCCAGTATCAGTTTACTAATACTGGGTAAGACAAAGCAGTTTAGGGACATTGATGACAACTACCCAGTCCTTCTTTGCATTAGACACATGCTTTCTGACCCAGAAAAACAGATGAAGTCTCTAAGTATGGTACATGAGCTACCAAGCATACAAGGGAGTATTGAGGTAATAAACTGTCTTCATATAGCTGTATAGCTTACATAACATTTTCCATGGAGCTATACTTTATAAATCCATAGATTGTAAATACATTTATTTACCAGAAACAATCCTAAACTAGAGGCATCCTACTGAAAACATTCATAGATAAGGATTCTCATCCTAGCATCTATTTGGTAGCAGGTTTAGTTGTCAGCTTGTTTACAAGAAATTGATACCCCTACCTTTCTTTCTTTCCCTGGATCATACCCCTGATAACAGAAGAGAAATGGATTATAAGCCAGTTGTTTAACTGCTTTCTCCAAAAGACTCAAGTGGCATATATTTGTGAATTAGTATTTATGTTCACGATTATTTATTTGAGATTTAAGATACAAGAAATTAAATTGTATCATTAATTTTAAAAAGACCTGTTAAAATATTATAAAACATCTGATTTACCCTGCTCTATGCCTGAGTGACCTTAGCTTAGTTACATTGCTATGAAAATAAGTATGCTTATCTGTATGGAATTACTTGATAAATAATTTTCTTAGGCTTTCCTGTGAGGATAAATTTCACTGTAAATCATATAGACTTGAAGATTTCTCACTCTTTCTCCAGAAAGACATTTCTTTCCGTTTCTTTCCCATTATGCCAATGCGTTCCAAAGAAAGTGTTTACTTACTATCGATGTCTACATAGTAGTCATGTCTGTCTGTTACTAACATTGGCCAAATTTGGACTGAATATAAATTTGTCTCTTTAAAAATGAGTTTCAGTGCTATTAGAATAATTATATGACTAATTAGTTTTGTTAAAACAAATGTAATATATCACAAAATTGTGTAACAAGTTTAATAATTTGGATGTGTTATATAAAATAATGCTTCCCTGCTAAATTTGAAACCCCATCAAATATTATCACTTAAGATATGTAATAATTTAAGAAGACATGGTAAATTTTTTTTGGTATGTTATGATTCTTGTTTCAAAACTTATGGTGTTACTTTAGGTCTGGGGATAAAGCATGCTGTATTTATTCAATTAATAATTAATATTAATTATTTTTATGTCAAGTTTGGTTTATTGAAACAAATATGCTTCATTGCTTAAACTCTTTACATATAGTCATGATTGACCCCTAAGAAAATTTAAACTCATTAGACAGATTAATAAATTAATACTCTGCTTTTTTATTATACTTTAAGTTTTAGGGTACATGTGCACAACGTGCAGGTTTATTATGTATGTATACATGTGCCATGTTGGTGTTAATACTCTGCTTTTTAAGAAAGGTTTTAGAGTTATCTTTAAATTCATATATAAATCATACAATATCTATAACTCATATCCTAAATAAATTCACTTATGAAAATAAATCCCAGAACATAGTTCTGATTGCAATCACCTGGGTTTCCTTAATCCTTCAGCCTTCTGGGGGACTTGTACCAATACATTATTAGAAAATTTAAAAAACCCATAGACATGGGAAGGGCTTCTTTTCCTCAGTCATTAGATACTATTTGCTTTAGTTGCTCTCAGTTTGGCTATAAGCCCTTGCTAACTTTGCAGTTGGTTACAGAATAAATTTGCAAGGCTCCTGCTTTCCTCCATATACCACTGCTGATGGAGCTTTAAACGCAGCTGAGTTGTGATACATGGAAGCCTGTTTTTCCTTTTACTGCCCACCACTAAAGTCCCTTCAATCCCACGACATGAAAACTTTGTGTTGCAAAAATGTTTACGGGAGATTTGAGACTACCTGGAAGAAATAAGAATGATACAACAAATAAAAAATAAACTTGATCCTTAATATGACTGTTTTTAAAATCCAGGGTAAAAGAAACAAAGTTAAACCCCTCACATTATTTTCTCTTTGTTGGTATGCTCCATCCAAGCCCTGTGCTCTATCCTGGTCTCTATGTTTCTCTTCTTGCTTAGAAATCTGCATCTTAATTCAATTCTTCCATTACAGAGCTCCTGCTTTTGGTTAATAGTGACATCTACCTCAGTATAAGAGATGAAGTTCATTACAAAGTATTGTCAAGCAGAAAACCATCTCCCAGAAGGTGCTCACTTTGGGTTAGATCATGTTTTGAGGTCAGTTGTTTTCACTTTGCTGATGTTTAAACCTTCAAAGTATGCAAAAATAGTATAAATATTTTCCATCCTGCATCCATAAGTAGTTAGTAAAGGGGAGGATGGTTATATGTCACTGTAAAGGAAAATAGGACAAAGGCAAAAACAAATGAAAGTCAACAAACTAAGATGAAATTAGGGTGAAGTCTCGGTATAAAAGGTTTGCACAGTCCTAGCATAGGCCCTTCTGATAAAGATGAACCAGGATTTGGCTGTACATTTCTTTCTTAAGGGCTCATACTGTTTTCAAAATATAAAAGATCCTAATAAACTAGAAAACTTCATTACCTACCCACTAGAACAAAGTCTCCTTCAGAAGCAAAATCAATTAAAGTTGCAATTTGTTCTTTACACGGAGGTCTTAATCTCCTATCAAGCAAGCTAGGAATTGATTATTCTGGAAATCTTATAGCCCAGGCAATCTCATTCCATTTAGAAACCTTAATGTCTTTGGTGACCAATAAAACCAGAAAAGTTTTGGCTAGGGATCTTCATTACTAATTCCCATTCTCATACAGCTATTCTTGCTCTGGCCAGATCCAAATGTCTGCTGCTTACATTTTTTTATGACATGTGAGACCCCATTTCATAATATACAAATTCCATGACATGCTGCACATATTCTTAGGAATCTTCCTTTTCTTAACACAGTATTTCCAGAACTATGGTGCTAATTGCTTGTTGTCATGAGACAACTTTAGGTGGTAGACAAACAAGGCATCGATAACCTTGGATGACATAGTGAGAATTTTACTTCATTGCTAATTCTTCTTTACTCATTCTGATCACGTCAAGAACAATAGCTGAGTATGTTAATCCTTAAGACTTTTTAAGCTTGTTATAAATATATACACAAGATAATGTATATAGGCATATATATGGCTTCACTACAGCACTACTTTTTTTTCAGATCTAGATTTAATTAAGTTTCTTAAAATACATCTGTCTTGGATCTCAGACTTCCAAATCCTACTCTTTCAGTTCCTTAAAGGCTGACCTCTCTTCCCTTACTAGCCAAGACCAAGAATTCTATCATCAGAAGCACTATCTTGCACACATTTGCATGGTTTTTTTTTTTGCCTTGACCCACATACAACTAGAAAACATCTAACCTTGCATTAATGGTATCATCCTCTTTCTCTGCTAATCACAGTGGAAGAAATGCCACATTATGCAGAGATTGGTACCATTAGAGTTTCCTAGTCTTCAATGCTATCTAAATATTAACACTATCTACAAGTCCTCTGATTGCCTACTCAGATGTTGTGCCCCATAGTTGTATTTAAAATGTTTCTACCTCATTTCCTATTACACTACCTCCTACTATCCTTTCCACTGTTGAGGCAGACATATACTCTTTAGAGGAAATAGAATCTATCCCCAGTAATTCCATCAAGTAGCTAATCCTACACTTCTAGTTTATATGTATTCAATAGCCATTTCTTGCTTAAATGTCTTAAATGACCTCCCCTTACCCTTATCATAAAGTGTAACTTCTTAATCTGCCTAGTGAGGCTTGTTATAATCAGGCTATGCAAATCTTTCTGGCTTTCTCGCCTGCCACTTCCCCTCTTGCACTTCATGATGCAATTATATTGCATTTCTTTCAGTTCTACAAATTTAGCTATGCTTAACTTTTTTTTTGTTTGTTTGCTTTTTTTTTTTTGAGATGTAGTTTCGCTCTGTCACCAGACTGGAGTTCAGTGGCATGATCTCAGCTCACTGTAAACTCTGCCTCTTGGGTTCAAGCAATCCTCCTGCCTAAGCCTCCCAAGTAACTGGGAATACAGGCGCGTGCCACCACGCACTGCTAATTTTTGTATTTTAGTAGAGACGGGGTTTCACTATGTTGGCCAGATGGTCTCCATCTCCTGACTGCTTTACTTAACTTTGAGTCGTCATACATGTTATTTCCCTCTTCTGTCTGAAAACCTCTAACTCACCTTCCTAAACAGCCAACTTCTATTTGTTCTGTAAACCTCAACTTTGAGGTTAATTACTCTAGGATGTCATACCCAAGTTTCCAATATTGGATTAGGCATTCCTCTTATGTCCTCCCAGAACTCTCTGTATTCACTATACATTGACACTCATTTCATAATATTGAAGTTGCCTATTTATTTGTCTATAATCTCCCTTGGCACATAGGATTCTAGAGGCCATTGACTAAATATGTTGATATTGCTTATTATACTCAGTGCCTCACACATGGCATGTACTTAATGTTGTGCTGATGTTCAAATGATGTTATAAGACCATAATGTCTAACAGAATAAGCGGGACCTGTTGCTCATGATAAACAAAACTACTCTTGGCCTCAAATTTAGAGATCCTGATCCTTGGGTCCCAGTTGACATAATTCCTTACTTCCTTGTGTAGGAACCATACTAATATTCTCTGTATCATTCCAATCTTAGTATATGTGCATCCAAAGCCAGCACTTAATTCCTCAGGAAAAAAAGCATGGTATTGTTTCTAGTCTTATTTTATAGGTCAATGGGATAAGACAAAATACAGTGGTATAAAAGCATTTTCTTATGTGTTGAAATGATCCTGTGTACATGGCTAACTGCTGATCTGGAATAATGTAGGACTAATTCCAGATTTTGATCGATATTGAATAAGTTTAAAGTTTCATTCCTAGCAGAGATATATTTAATTAACAAAGATGTATTGGATGCATCATTACCAGGCACTTGAGATATATCAGTGAACAAAACAAAGTTCTATGTCCTCACATCAATTACATTCTAACAGGGGAGAGGGACAATAACAACACAACACAGGAGAGAAACACAAACAACACCACACAACACAAAACATGACAAATAAATTACATGCTATGTTAGAAGGCGTTAAAGCCATTGAGAAAACAAGATCACAATAAGAGAGAAATAGAAATATTGGGATTGGACTGTGGTTCCCAATTTTAAGTAGAACTTTTCTGGGTAATCATTGTTGTGAAAGTGATTTTGAGCAAAGGTTTAGTAGAGGTGAGAGTTAGAGGAAGAGCATCTCAGGGAGAGGAAACAGCCAGTTCCCTGTAATCAAAGTTTCTAATGCAGAAGCCTGATTGACATGTTCATCATAGCAACAAGGACTGTGGAGACCCAAATCATTTATATTTTTTTTGCAAAGTAATATCAATAAATCATTTATTGTGTATATTCATCTGTGTTTCCTGAGTTTATGGCCATACAGCATTTTGAAGGTAGAGGCAACAACATTTCTTAATGAGTTAGGTGCAGGGTGAATGCATATAGACCCTTATGCTCCAAGGGATAGCATAGGCACAGGTAGGAATGTCATGCTCTTATAAAAATTGAAGGGTCTGACAAGCACAGGTGTCTGAATCAAAGACTGCACTTTTTAGCCCAGAGGTGGGCTTAGGTAGCTCCTGTGAAAAGAGGTAAGTTTCTCCTTGAAATTTCCCAGGTTCCCCTCTAGCATATAGATCAAAGAGAATTTGGAACCTTCAAGTTCTATGACATAAATCTTCTTCAAAATTCTTTTATCTAGAAAAATATTACATCAAGTTTAATAGAATTCCTACTGTGGTCATGGGGGCAAGCCTCATTCTTCATCCAGAAGATATTTAATCTTCCACAATATGGTTATCCTTCTAAGCCCAAAGCACGGTCATTCTTTGCTGCTTGCCAATCTCCTGTTAGAATTCAGCACATCTGTAGAAACTATCAGAATGTCTTGTACAATCAGGCAAGGATATTGTTTAGCTGCTTCTTTGGAAATTACCAAGTGTACACGTTTATAACTGATTTTTAAAGACTGAATATACAATCCTAAATCCCTTTACTTCATTGTTTGTGACCTACTTCAATTAGGTCACACAAAAAAATCACATTAAAAACTTTACTGTACTGATCAGGTAGAAGACAAACATTCAGACACTTCTAGTAAAGTATTTGTTCATCTGAAAATCTTTTACACTTGATAACACCGATCTTAAAGAGGGACAGTTCAGACCTACTGTATTTAAGTAGCATAATAACTTCTCTAATATTTATAGTAACTTCCCTAATTATTTAAGATATTATATTTATTGACAAAAGACTTCTCTACTGCATATTATTTCTCTGTACACTAATGGGCTTTCATATAATAGAAATTGTATTGGTAATAAGAAAAGATAGTGGAAAGAAATAACTGAAGGTGTCTTATACTGAAGATGTGAACCTCAGCTTTTTTGTCCATTCAGATGGTGACATTGTGATCATTTTAATCAGCATATTTTACTTGTATCATGAAAACACTGTAAATATTAAATCACAGTGTAGTCAAACCTGGATTATTGTCACTTCTTTTAATGACTCTGTGACCGTATTCTGTATAGTATTAAATACAGTGTCAGTGTCCAAAGACAGTGATATTAAAGTGTAATTTTTTTATCATTTCAATCAAACTGAGGGGATCTAAAATGTCTAATAACTTTCGTGAAGGAAACCTTACTGTTTTATGAGCTACAGTCAATCTTTAACAAAATTTCCTACAAAATTGTCAGTAGGCATGATTTCTTTTATAGGAAATGTAGTGAAGTTGCCCATCTATATTCATGTGATTAATGTAACATAGAATTTACAAATTTAAATGCATAATGCTGGAAAAGTAGAAATAAAGATTTTTATAGTAACATAAATCTGTGCTACATACATTTAATATATTCATGGATTATAAAATGAATTGTGTTCAATAGCTCAACATTTTTAATTGGGTTTGCAATTATAATAAATTGTTACACACATTTCTCAAGTGGATTTTCAGACTTCTCAAATATTTGAGTCTACATTTTCATGTCTACTAGAAAGCATACAGAGAAGTTTTTTACACAAGTAATAATGTTATTTCTAAATGGCTTTTTGGTTTTTTCTTCCACACATTGTTTATCCCTGTGGGCAAATCTTTGTCGAGATTTTCTCATCCTAGGAGTAAAAGGGTTTAAACTGGCTTCTCTAGTCAGATTGATCTTACAGGAATCAGTTTTAGATGTGTAGTCAAGCAAATGGACTTCTAAGGACAGCAAAAATGAGAACACAACATTGATAGCACCACCAGCAAGACAGATCATGAAAAACAAAACAAGATGACCAAAAAGATGCTAGGTAAATATGAAAACATGTATAATTTCTCAGTGTACTCTTTTACTGTCTTTCCTTCATTTTGGCCAAATATCACGTATTTCATTCTCCATGTTTTTACTTTTACTTCTCCAGACCAAATAAGCCTTCTTTTGGAAGCAATAGGTATTGGCAGTTTCTCCAACTTGACTTTTTACTTTTTTAAAAAATGTGAAAGTGGTTCCCTATATAAGCAAAAAGATCAACTAGAATATTATTTGGTATAAAATAATGCCACTTAAAGGAGAACATTTTCTCCTAAAATGTGTTTTTCCTAAAACACTTTGCCAGTATATTCAATTCATGAAGTTATGAACATTTTCATTCAGCAAGTATCTGTTGGGTTCTGCAAGAAAACAGAGAGGTGTTACATAAGAAACATAAAACGGAAATCTCACATTTCCAGGAGCATAACATCATTCCAAATGATGCAATGTGTACATGTTAAATTGTTCATTAATACCACAAAGCAGTAATGTGCCAGAATGATACCACATCCCTACTAATGTTTTTCCTGCCTCTCTGTATGTTGCCTTTCCTAGACCATATCTAGCTATTAAATTGAGTCTTGATCCTGGATTCTTTGTTCTTTTCCTTATGTTACCTCTAAACTTTCAGTAGGCAACTATATCCTTACCCACTAATCGCCATCTATTTCCACAAACACTAACATTAAGTATCTCCAGGCCACACTCTCCTCTGCCTACTTCTTACCTCTTTTTGAATAATATATCCATAAAGATTACTCATGATCCTCTCTTTCAATCTAGACCCTCTTCCAGTGTTGCTGTTTCAGTGAATGGCACCAATATTCATCCACTGACACATGAAATCTAGAAACAGAATAGTCTTCTTCGACCCTTCTCTGTCCAATCTGTCCACTTCCATCCATACCTACCAGCCCACCACTCTAATCCAGGCGTCCTATCACACTTCGCCTGGACAAGTACAATGATTCTTAACTGCTCTATTTTCATCTTTGAAAATAGATCCTTTCAAAGTATTCTCCATATAGCAAACAAATCATCTTTAAAATTGAAATTTAGTCTAAATGTATTCATGTGTCCATAAAGCTGTTTTGTTTTGTTTTATTTTTCTTAAATACATGGCCTTTGAAGGCTGCCCGGTTTGGTCCCTGTTTCTTTATCCTTGCTGTGCCTGTTCTAGCTACACTAGTCTTACCACAGGCCCTTTTTCTTGCCCTCCTTCTCCTTCTACATCCTACAAATGAAATACTCATTTCTTTCTTACCTTAGCTGTTACTTGGTTTCCGGCTTCTAGTCTATGCTTCACTTCTTCAGAGACCCTCTTATTAATAGGTTATTGGGGCACAGGAGACCTTTCCTTCATGACATTCACTTTTTCTTATTTGATTATCACATTTCTTTACAATTTCATTTCTTTATGTGATTATTTGATTGGAGTCAGTCCTCTCGTTTACTGACGTTTCACAAGATTAGAAGGTGCACCTGTTTTGTTCACCTTTGTAACCCTGGTACTTAGCACTGTGGAACACAATAGAAGCTCTAAATATAAACTGAATAACTATATCAATAAGTGAACAAATGAACCAATGGATGGAAATAGTATGTAACATGGTAATAGAAAAACTTGTGAAGGGAATAAAAATAAACAATAGAGGAGAGTTGATATGAAACTTTGGGCTATCTAGGAAGGAAAAGGACATCAGGAAAAGAGGAGGTGAAGAAAGGCATTTGGCATTTAAGGCTGCAGAGTCATTTGAGCAAAGTTCTAGGAATGCAAATGATCTTTAGGTGGTAGAATGGTAAATTAACCAAGTGAAGCATATTGGTTCATTATCATGAACAGGGGAGGTAACACTGAAGACATAAGATTAGTTTAAATTTATGGACTTTGGATTAACAGGCTGTAGGAGCTAACAGAAGCTTTTTGATTAGGTTTGCATGGTGGGTAGCTATGGAGGATGTGTAAGAGCAGGAGATCAGTTAGGACACTATCCCAATAATATAGTTTATTGGATGCATCATTAAGCATCCATTCAAGGGTAAAAAAATCTTATGATTTTGCAATTATTAAGTGTTTATGAAGGAAAAGCTGCTTTCTTAGAATAAAATACTTCAATTAATCTTTTTAAAAACAACAGCAGAAAAAGTATTTTGACTAATGAGTAACTACTTGGTGTTGTTCTGGGAAACTATTTCGAAAAGCTTGAAGTTAATGGCTATAACCCTAAGTGCCTTAAATTTAGTTCAGTGTGATAAAGCCCCTCACATATTTTCTTAGTTTTAAAATTCTTATTTAGTTTGTCTATGTAAATTGATATACACATAATGAGACAGTAGAAACTTCAGTGTATTTACTTAGCTCCTTTGTACCATATTCACCCTCTGTGATTTGACATGGATTCAATATGATAAAAAGTAAAAATGAAAACAAAGTTAACTGTTGCTGTTTTGTGTCAATTTTGCTGTTCCTTTTTTTTAAAAAAAATATTGGTTTGCTTTGGTGACCTTTTCTGTGTTTGGGCAAGCATCCCTTAAGCTTTCATCCAGTGATTATAAGCAGTCATTATGTTCTGTTTGACATGGTCATTACTTAATGCTCACTTAACAGAATTCTACAAGACCAAATTATCACAGTAGGTGAAGGAACAGATGGCCAGCTGGCCAGAATCCACGCCTGCTTTGTTTTATGCCTCCTCAAATCTGCCACAAGGAAGCCACATGTGAGACCTGAGGAGGCAATCTAAACAGTAACTTGCCTGTCCAGCTGTGCTTCCAATGTTCTCAGCTGTGAAGTCTAGGTAGGTGCCATTCCCATATGAGTGCAGCAGGAACATCTCCTGCAGGAATCTCTCTGCTTCATGATTAACATGGCAGTCACGGAGGACAGATTCCAAAAGTAAAAATAGAAATCCTTTCCTCCACCTCCTGCCACTGCCTTCAAGATCAAAAATCACTATGCTATATTATAGGAGAAAGAACTGTAGCTTTGTGGAAATAGTATACTTATTTTTAACACACTTTGTTTATAATTATAAAATTATCCAAAATCTGATATTTTACAGATTGCTACAACATTCAACAAAGAGAATTAGGCTTGGCTGCAGCTTAACATTGAGTTGTTGAAACCTGCTAGTGTAAATGAAAAAGGGCTACTGATATTTATATCCAATCTCTAAATTTTTGGTTTCTGTTATAGATTATGATTTGCAGTTTGGGTTATATGCTGACATTTCTAAAATTAGTAATAATTTTAAGTCAATCATCACACATTTATGAAACAATATCAAAATATTTAGCTCTTCATTAGGGACTATGAGGGTACAAAAATATAAGGAGTGAAGGTTCCTATGCAAAACTAATTTATAATTCAGTGAGGGAGACAAAAGAGATCTATGGAATAATTAGAGGATGAAGCAATGAAAAGTGAGATGCTAATCATGCAGTATAGGTGGCAAGTTGAGTAGGAGCCTGAAAAAGGTGAAGCGCTGTCAGAGAAAGATTGATGAAGAACATGCAATTTTTGTAGTTGCTTAGAGACACTATGTGAAATAGTGAGATTGCTTGATGCCCCTGAAACTTGGGCTCAGATATTTGTTTATTATATATATATATATATATATATATACACACACACACACACACACACACACACATATATATATATATATGTAGAAATACTGGTCTCTGCTCTGTCTTTAACTTATGCCCTGTCTAATTGATATGTAGAAAATGAAACAAACTATGGTAGCTAATGGCAAACCTGGGTGATATCTTAGGACTTTGCACTGCAAGCTGATGTGTATTCTCAAACTTTAATTGTATTGTGTAATGAATGGCTTGTGAGTTCTGACAGATATACTTCTTAAAAAAGTGATTTGCAGGATTTTGTTTGGAAATAGCTCCCTGATCTAAAAAGAAAGACTTTTTAAGGAATTTTCTTAGCTTGAGGAAAATTGTTTGATGTGTGCTTTATGAGTTATGTTGGATTACATTTATGGTTTCTAAAGTTTTTACAAGAAATTTTGCATGGAAATCGTTGTTATTCTGAAGGCCATCAGGAAAAATAAAAATATGTTGATTATCAACATAGCCCATAGGTTTGCCATCTATGTTTCTCTTAGATTATAGGGGTGTTCATGTTTATCCCACTGGCCAAAGATTTCAAGGTGCACCTAGGCCTTATATTACTAAATTCAAAAATGATAACTTAATTTCATATGGTATTCACTAATTCACAAAAGGCTTCTGTATACTAGCTTTATTATTATTAAGTATATTATGTCAGCTTTAGTTTTCTTAGTCTTTGAAAGAAAACCAAGCAGCAACATTGTTTTTGTCATATGTTCATTACATATTTTTATGTAAGCCATAACATCACACAGTCAGCAAATATTATTGGCCAACTAAAAGATGCCCAAAATTAGACAGCATGTTTTGAAGGATAAAAAATGTATATGCAGAATAACTACAGAGTATTGATATAGAGTTCTCTTTGAGTAATAAAACATTCTGAGCTGAGAATTTCCATTATGCAAGTAGTGGTTTAAGGAGGTTGTTTTCGCAGCAGTGTGCAAGATGAATGTACGGGGGAAAGAAATGGGAGACTGCCTCTTAACAAAGTGTAGCTGTAACAATAGTTATCACTTTGTAAAATGATAGCTCTTTTGCTGTGATTGGTTATTAATTTTCTTTAAAGTCATATTAATATTTAATAAGATATTTATTTATTGAAGAAAAGGAGACATCAACTACTGTGCCACAATGATTACCTGTCATTGTGGAATTAATATATAAAGACTTTCTCAGAAAGTTGCTGAGTGCCTGAAAAACTACTGCCATCAGCAAGCCCAACTCTAAACAATAGTTTAAGTGGATGAAGATTAACCCCAGGAAATCTTCCTCCTTTCTTAATGTGTCCTCCTATCATGCAGTGCTAGGCTCTCCTTGATGTCCCCTGGCTACCCAATTCTGGATTCTACCTAGTTACTGCCCCAAATTTAGACTGCTCTCCTGATCTCCAGCACCATCAAAGCTTATCCACCACTACTCTGTGACGAGAACCAAGTAAAATTAATTTTAGCTAAGATTTTAATTACTGATAATATGAGTGCTTTGCCAGCCGATTCTAATACATAAAACTCTGGTTTACTTAATCAACTGCAATACTATAACAAAACAACTACACAGGAACCATAAGGCGGGTGAAATAGTGCTCCCTACCCCCAATTCAGGTATACCAGGAACCCTGAATACAACCTTATTTGTAAACAGGGTATTAGTTTGCTAGGGCTTCCATTACAAAATACCACAGACTGGGTAGATCAAACAACAGAAATTTGTTTTCTCACGGTTCTGGAGGCTCTGGAGATTTGGTTTCTTCTGAGACCTTTCTCCCTGGCTTACAAATAGCTGCCTTCTTGCTGTGGCTTCACTTGGCTTTTCCTCTGTGTGGCAGAATCACTGGTGTCTCTTTTGTGTGTTCAAATGCCCTATTCCTATAAGGACACCAGTCCAATTGGATTAAGGCCCACTTATATGACCTCATTTAACCTTAATTATCTCTTTTAAAAAGTCCTATCTCCGAATATAGTCACATTCCGAGGTCCTGAAGATCAGGGCTTCAACATATAAGTTCTCGGGGGGACACAGTTTAGCCCATCATAGGGCCTTTGTGCATAAAGATTGTTAAGGATCTAAAGATGAAGACGTATTAGATTTATGGTGAGTTCTTATAAGCAGAGGAGAGAAACAATTAGAAGAAGGCCTGTGAAGACAGGCAGGGATTCGTGTTTTGCTGCTATAAACCAAGGAATGCCAGGAGCCACCAGAATCTGGAATAGGCAAGGAAGGACTTTTTCCTGGAGCCTTCAAAGGGAGTCTGGCTC
This sequence comes from Homo sapiens, assembly GCF_000001405.40. NCBI lineage: Eukaryota > Metazoa > Chordata > Mammalia > Primates > Hominidae > Homo > Homo sapiens. The sequence continues at coordinate 84,188,319 of NC_000005.10, read as the reverse complement.
TGTTGATACCTTGATTTCAGACTTCTAGCTTCTAGAACTCTGAAGGAATAAAATTCTATTGTTTTAAACTACCATGTTTGTGGCATATTTTTACATTAGCCTGGGAATGTAAACAAGGACAAAGACCTCTAAAGCATCTCCACTGGTCATCTCAGTGCCTTCTTATAGACAGACGTATATAAAGATAGTCTAGTATTAATTCTTGAGAAGAAAATTTATCAACAGGTTTTAAGGGGGGGCGGGAAATCTCTATCTTCAGGTTTCCATTTTTATAATCTATCCAAATGCTTTTTTGTTCAATGAAAAATATATTAAATTTACTGATTCTCCACTACAATGAAATGTTTGAGATAGTATCATAAAATAGTTTACGTCTTTCTTCATATTCAAAATACTCATAGACGATTTTTATCCTCAAATGGCTGAATTTTGCACATTTACGTTTACAAAGGAGGAGGAGTACAAAGGAGAAGGAAAAAGAGCAGGATGAGAAGCAACAACTAGTGTTTAAAAAATAGCTTGCAAACGTCAATCATGTGAGCGTTCCCAGAATAATTTCTTTCTTTACAACTGGTTTTAAAATAGAGTGACAGTGGCTCAAAATGGCAACTGCCAAAATGTTAAAAAATTATTAAATGTAAAGGCAACACTGAAGATAACTTCGATATGTTCTTAACACCAGAATTTGGGGTGAAATTTGGGGTCATAGCTATTCCTATTTTATTCTAGTGGTAAACAACTAGTAAAAACTATGCTGTTGCAATTGCCTTACTGGCATTTCCTTACTACATAAAGTGTACATTTATTTTGATATCTAACTGGCAATGTTTTGGAGGCATATTTTTTAAAAATTGACCAAAGCCTAGTACATATTATCACAGGAGAATGTTAACCTATTCACTTTCTAATAATCTGCTTGTGTACTATAAGTTATTCATGATTTCGGGCACAGTCTCTAAGTGTGTAAGCAGCTAATCATATTACACATATGGAAATAACTCTAACTCTACTATTGGAATTGTGAGGAGATAGATGCAGAAAAGTAGCAAACCATATAGATCTACTGCTTTTGTGAGGAATTAATCTTGTTGACATACTTATATGAGCTTGCATAAAAAATGCCTGGAAAGCATGCTGTTGAATTCAGTTGTTCATTAATATTGATCATATGCTGTCCCCATTGTGTTAGGAGCTACTTAAAGATTACCTGCAAAAGTATTACAGCATTATTGATTTTAAAACTCCCTAAAGCCTCTTGTATCTTGAAAGTCCATTTATGCTTTCATTGTTAAGAGTGATATTACCATTGTTGTCTAATCAGATAATTTCGAATTTTATGAATACTAATCAGAACACAAGCTCCTAGTCACCACTCTGTATACTTCTTCTGTATGCCCTAATGCATAGAAAGACAAACTTCTTTACAAGGCTTTTGAAGTGACAAGCAATTGAGATTGCCCTTGTCTTCTATCTTTTTGTTTTACAAGCTCTGAGTGGTTGAATAATACTCATTTGTTCTCAAACTTTGATCTGCTATTAAACTGCTTCAAAGCTGTGTGAGAGTGATATACATGTGTGCTTGTATGTGTGCGTGTGTGCTGGTATGTTATAGAAACTATATGAGATGCCTCAAATGTACTATAGTTTTGGCTGCTAAAATTAAGAATATGGCCGATTCTTAATTTTCATGTTTTAATATGTTGCCACTAGGAAATCCTAGAATTAAATTTCCAGGAACCATTATATGAACAAAGAAATGTATTAATACCAAGCATAGTATATTCACAGTAAAAGAGAGCCATTGAAATTACCTTAAAAAATGAGATACCCAAACTGGATAACTAAGGATATTTTTCTGATGTGAGATTTGTCTTTCAGCTGCTGACAATTTTAATACCATACAAAGTGCTTATCCCAAATTACTAGCAGAGACCAGCACATAAGGAGTACTTAATGAATAAATGTTATTTAACCTGAAATTAGTGGGGGAAACACCTTCTGTAACATACTGGGCAGTGTCCATTTCTTTCTTATCCTCCCAGTATAAGCAACACTATATGCTCTAGGTGATTATTATTACTTATAGTGTTACAAGACCTTTACATATTACTTTAGTAATATTTTTTTTCAGTATCAAAATAGAGAAGACTATGGAATGGGGGTAACCACAAAGTCAAAACTTTTCCAGGATTTCTAATTCTCATATGAATAGCCTGCTTATTATCACTTGGGGCAATAAAACTGGAAACTGTTGCAATTGAGCATCAAACATAACTTTTGGCTAGGAAGCAACTTTTGTAAGTTGAGACCTTGGACTACATTTATTATGTTATCTTTATATACTAACTTGTATTCTGATCATTTTATCTTGCTCATACATGAAGTGAATGTTTTTATTTATATAGAAGTAGTTAAATTAAGTAACTCAAACAGTTAATGAGATTATACAAGTTACATTTTTCTTGATTATGTATTTGCCAAAGAATTAAGATACATGTAATCATTATGCAAAAGTACACATTCTAATGGTCTGTTATTTACAATTCAGTGTAATACATTTGAAGCTTAAACCATATTAGAGACAAAACACATTGGAATCTAATTATAAATTTAAAGGACTAGAAGCTTGAAAGGTGTAGAAAGGTTCCAGAAAATATCTAACTTAATTATTGAGTGAAAATCCAAAAGAAAATGATGTCATAAACCTAAAATTAGAATACAGTGTAGGCAGCAAATATAATTTTTAGAACTCATTATTGCCATATCCTTGTTTATTCAAAATGTATCAAACACCTACTGTGTGCCAACGTTAAGTCTTCCCACACAGAATTTATGGTCTAGTAGGGAAAAACAATAGGAAACCATTCATTTCAACACTCTGTCATGAGTACTTGAAAAAAAGTCTGTACAAGGCACATAACATCAGTCTCACATTATAATTACAGAGCCTACCTCTGTTCCTAATATCTAATACACTGTGACCCATTTCCTGAAAATATTCTGAAATGTTTCCATTTTGGAGTCCTGTATTATTTATAGGAATGTGCTTAGTGAATTCATGCTGATTCCGTTTACATCTGTGAAGACTAACATGAATACACAGATTTTCAACATGGTAGGAAATGTGGCTTAATGGAAAGGGCATAGACTTTATAGTTAGGCAGAGTGTGTTAAAATCTATGCTTTTTCAGATGGATATGATACTTATCCTCCCTGAGCCCATTTTATTGCCTCTAAAACAAGATTATAGTCTTACAAGGCATTATAAAGATAATATGTACACTCATATTGTCTAGCATGCATGCAAGGGACTCTAGAAAGGTTTAATCTTTGGCCCTTTTGCTTTACTCCATCCTCATCCATTAAATGAAAGTCACTGAATTTCTTGGAGTAGGAAAAATAACAGCAGCCATAACCTCTGAAACACATAATCTTTTTCTAAAATCCAGATGTCAGCCAAGGTCATGATGTCTTTTGGCGTGTAAATAAAATGAGCTCCAATGTACCAATTCACATCATCTAGAAATCCCAGAGGCTGCCCCAAGATTGCTGGACAGGCTTCACCTGTGCCCTCAGGAAGTGTCCAGAATGCTTGGGACTTAAGAAACCGCTGTTCACTCTATCTTCAGCTTCCTGAACCCATTGGATTCTTGAATCTCTTGGGCATCACATGCAGCAATACTTTTCCCCTTCTGCCAGGATAAGCCACATCAATAGTATAGCCCTTTCCCCTTGATTTCCCCAAGTACCACTCACAGGCTTGTGTGTTTAGCAGCTGTTATTATAGAGCTAGATGCTCCAGCAGAAGCAATTCACATAGCATCTGTGCAAACAACTTAAACCTGAATTTTGGACATCACAATTTCTTACTAGCTACTTTTCATCACATATTACAGCCTCCGAGCACATTGCTTGGATTCTGTCTCTCCTTGAAGACTATATTTCTGCCTTTCCTTTTAGAATTTCTGCTTCTCAGTTTTCTGCATCCATTCCCCAGCTCTTCCCTTTATTTCGCAGATCCATTTAGGTCATCTTGCTCTTCTCACCTTCTAGCCAAGTTTCACTTTTACAAAGACATAGTAGGCTTGAGTAAATAGCATCATAGATTCCAGGTTCCTATTTGCCCCATTTTTGTCAGAGAGACTTCCATTTACCTCCTTCCTTGGAATCACTTGTTGTTTTTTGTTGTTGTTGTTTTGTTGTTGTTGTTTCTGAGATGGAGTTTTGCTCTTGGAGCCCAGGCTGGAGTGCAATGGCACGATCTTGGCTCACTGCAACCACCATCTCCCGGGTTAAAGCAATTCTCCTGCCTCAGCCTCCGAAGTAGCTGGGATTATAGCCATGCGCCACTACACCCGGCTAATTTTGTATTTTTAGTAGAGACGGGGTTTCACCATGTTGGTCAGGCTTGTCTTGAACTCCTTGACCTCAGGTTATCCACCCACCTCTGCCTCCCAAGATGCTGGGATTACAGGCGTGAGCCACCGCACCTGCCCAGAATCACTGTTTTAACTGCTCTCAAGAACTCGCAGAGGACTTACTGTTTCAGTCATTTTCTATTCCTCCCTCGTCCAACCCTGTAAGTGTGAAGGAGCATGGAAGACTTATTTTCTCTGTGATATAAATTACTCCACTCTCTTCGGTAATTTCTTACCAGTTTTGGTTTAAATAACTATTTTTCCTCCTAGGAACAAGTCCTTAAACCTAATTTTTCTCATATTAAGTTGTTTCTAGGGAACATTTCTGAATTCGTATTTGGTTTTTTTCCTCACCTGCAAAACTGGAAAGTTGGATTAAGTGATCTCCAAGGACTCTTATTTGCTTAAAATTATATAATTTTTGACTGTAATTATTTATATATTTTTTTCTTTAGCGGTTATGTGCTTGGCTGTCAGTTATCAGTTAGTTTCAAAATCTATCATTTTTACTCTCATTTGAAGTGAATTGATGAGTCAAAACTCTAACATCACTATCATTTCATTCTCCCCTCCCCAGTTAGTTGATGCTCTGAGGGGTATAGGTTTTAGAATCCCAGATTCTTAGTCTGAGGCCTCAATCTGTCACTGGTAGATATTGATTGAGAAATATTATATAATCTTTCTGACCTTCAGTATTTAAAAAAAAACTGTAAAAGAGAATGATAATGACGAAGACCTAAGTTATAGTAAAGAATAAATGAGATGATTTATGTGAAAAGAGTTTATAAATTGTAAGGCACTATCAAATGTTAATTAATTTGTGAGGAGGGAGGAAGTGGAAACAGAGAGAGGAGAAGGAGAGATAGGTTCTGCAGCATGATTTTCATTTTGTAGCAATGAAAGAAAATGGTTCAAATTGTTCTATAACTAGTCATTGGTCATTCACCTTCTTTCCTGTCTCAAATATTGGCAATGTACCACCTCGAAGGCAGGTGTTAGATAATTTAATTGATATGTGCTTCACAGCACAAAACTGTCTACTTAAATAAATATATTGTTTTTAATTGGTGTGGTGCTGACAAAAAAAAAAAATCACAGAGCCCCTGAATCCTTTTTACTTTTTGAAAATCAGTCCTATCGGGAAGTCAAGGTCCGGGAACTGTACAGTTGCCACATTGTTTCCTGTTCCATGTGTTTCTTTGTTAGACTCCACAACCGTTGAATTTCATAACATTTTAAATGGAAAAAAATGGAGGGTCAAATACAGCTCTCAGAAGAAGAAATAGATTCATAAAATCTTGCCCCAGTGCATGACAAAGTTGCCCACCTTCTAAGTGCTTCCCACCCATGGTTGAGGTCCGATTGCAGTGCTTGAAGTGATGCTGGTGATTTTTTTTTTCCTATTCACAAGTTTGTTTGTTTGTTTTTTTTAAAGTTTAGTTTTTTGAGACAGGGTCTCATTCTGTCACACAGGCTGGCATGCAGTGGTGTGATCTTAACTCACTGCAGCCTCAACCTCCTAGGCTCAAGCAATTCTCCCACCTCAGCCTCCTAAGTAGCTGGGACTACAGGTGCACACCAGCATGCCTGGATTTGTGTGTGTGTGTGTGTGTGTGTGTGTGTGTGTGTGTATTTTTTGTAGAAGTGGAGTTTCACCATGTTGCCCAGGCTTGTCTCGAACTCCTGGGCTCAAGCAATCTGCCCGCCTCAGCCTCTGAAAGTGCTGGGATTACAGGCGTGCACCACCTCGTTCAGCTCTTGTTTTTATTAGTGGCTTTGACCCATGCAGGAGGAGTCATTCTCTATAGCACTCTCTGTTCAATACCCTTGCCCCAACCCAGTTGACTCAAGTTATTATTATTCATTTGTCCAGCTCTTCTACCTTGCTTCTTGTTTCAGCTGAACACACTCACTCCTTTTCTGAACAAATCCTCTAGGGCTCTCAAAATCACCTCTTCATACACAGTCAGATACTTAGTTTAATTACCCTTGCTTTCCTTTTCTAATATGTACATCTTAACTTCCTCTTCAGTGGCTTTTCTTTTCCTTATAAATATGTTCTACTCTCTCCAATTAAAATCAGTACAGACTAAATTAGAGAAAACTGTAGTTTTTTGTTTTTGTCTTTTTTCATCTCCCAGGGAGAGCTTTTCCTTCCTTCAACTTGACTCTTCCCTTCTTCACAATCTCAAGTCTGGATTCTGTCCTGAGTCAATTAACATCCTGCAGGAAGAAGACTGTAAGATAGAATTAAAAGTGTAAAAGATTTTTGGGGGGAATGTCTGTGATGCACAAAGGGGAGAGAGAGCAAGAGTAGATAGGATGAGCCTACAGACCGTGACATAGCCTGTCACTTTGAAGGGAGAAAAGGAAGGAGAGAACATGGCATAGAAAAAGTCTCAAACTGCTATGGTTTTAAGAAAAATCTCAGCCACACCATTGGGGCACCTCAGAGTACAGAATGTTTATTAGAGAAGTCTCAGGTCAGGCACGACTGGCCCAGCTAGCTCTATGCCCCTTTGGTATTTAGTTTTTGGCTGGGGAGCCTGGCCTTAAAATAAATGCTGCCACAGCAGATCCTGTGGTTCAGTAGCTGAATGTTGTCAGCTAACCACACTCCTGGCAGCTGGTTTTCTCCAAGAGAGCTCTGAGCAGCACCACACTTTCATTAGCAGCCACAGGTACTAAATAATCTGCTGTTACTTTCTCAAGTTTAAAAATGACCATCAGCCCCTCTTCTCTAAGTATGCAACTTTTGACGGACTGCTCGTTTTAGATTGGCAGAAAATGTGCTTCCCCAGAGGTATGCTCCACCATAAACTCATACTCTATAAAAGCTTTGCAGCCAGCTATCCAATTCACTTGGTTTATGTGGTTACAGCCATATGCTGCTTGTACCAGCAGGGGACAAAAATTGTGGAGTTGTGAATACAACTCCAGAAATTGCTATTCAATATTACTTTTTAAACACCCAGAAGGTATTCTACAATTCAGAAATTTTAATAATATCTAATTTAATGCTAATAATTTTTTGAGTACTTTACATGTGACAGACACTGTTCTGGGTATTTTATATGTATGAACTCTTTTCATCTGTATTATAACCTCTTAAGGCAAATTTTTTAGTATTGACATTTAACAGAAAAGGAAACAGGCATGGAGAAGGTAAGTAAATCTCTCAAGACTGCACGCCTGTGAAGTGGTGAAACCAAGATTCAAACCCAGGCCATTAGTCTCCAGAGCTCATACAACCAGTACATTTACTATGCCACTAATATCTAGAACACTTTTTTCTGTAAAATTATTAATTGCAAAATGTTGACCTAATGTCTACTTTTAAGAATATGCATCAAGCAGAAATATTTTTTTCTGTCTTTCAGGTCCCTGCACTCCTAATCCATGCCATAATGGAGGAACCTGTGAAATAAGTGAAGCATACCGAGGGGATACATTCATAGGCTATGTTTGTAAATGTCCCCGAGGATTTAATGGGATTCACTGTCAGCACAGTAAGTTATTCATAGTCATTGTACTTTTATTATTATTGATTACAAAGTATACAAGCCATCATCATTCTTGTTTGTAGTAGAATCATAGAATCTGAGAGCAGAAGAGAGCCCTGGCTTTGGCTAATGCTGCTTCTCTCCCATGGAATACACCATGTCCACAGTGGAGGACTCCTAGACTGTGTTTCAATCCTCCCAGTGGCATGGGAAGTTTGTAGTCTTCTGGTCATCCCTTTTTATTATTGCCCCACTATCCTTGCCAAAAGATGCACTTTACATTAAACTGATATCTGTCTCTTTCATATTTGTCCTAAAGCCACATCCTTTAAGTTTTCCAAAAATTACTCTGGTGATTAGGTTCAGAGATGATACCCAGAAAAAAAAAAACAAAACACAAAACTGCCACCCTGCCCTTAAGCCAGTTTTCTCCTTCTTACATGTTGGCATTTTTAGTGTGAAAATCTTTGAAAGCTCAATAAGTATGCTACCTGCACTTCTTTTTTAAATCCCAATTCTTATTTATCTTGGAAGGTTAAAGAAAGTAGATCCCACTAGTGATGATTTCTTCTTAGAAGGAGGGGTGAACATAAATGTCAAAGGAATGGTGTGGTGCCTTAGCACTGTAGGTGTTCAGCAAGCAGAGGGGCCACAGCCAACTCTAAGCTGTCAGGGAGATTCTCACAGAGGTTGCCACATGCAAGCTGAGTCTTGAAGGAGGGACAGAATGTTGATCAGAGACAGGGGAATGACACATAGTAGGAAGAGTGGGGAAGGAATAGGCAAGCCATGATTACTGTATTGATGGGTAAGACAATGGTATTAAGAACGATAAGGCAAAGCTGGATTTGTCAGCGAGAGCTGTATCCAAGCACCAGCAAAAAACAGAGTGCCTTCAGGCTCTGTGACTTTGGGAGCATCTTGTACTTTTCTGGAGACATGCCATGGCCAGAAGTTTGTAGAATTTCCGTAGAAACCTATTGTAGTGCATGGGCGTGTGTGCTTTGTACAACGGGCATCTAAACTACTTGGAATTGTCCCTAAAAGCTCAGATCACCAACAAAGCAATGAAAAGCTATTGATTTTTCTCAGGTTGGGCCCAGAGGTGCCAAGGCTAGGTCTCCCTGATGCTAGCTAGCATCACTGCTCAGCCTTCACACATGGACACTTCAAAACAGCCCTGGAAAGATAAAGATAGGAGCCCAGAATCTCAGGAGCCTTGATGTTCACTTAATCCCATGAAGACCATGTTACTTACCCTTACTTACCCTGTGATGTGGCATCAGAGGCAGTGCCCAGAGGGAAACAGACTGGCCACCCCAAGTCTTTTCTCTCATAGCTTCATACTATATTCAAACAAGCTTATAAATACTATATTCAAACTATAGCTTCATACTCTGTTCAAACAATATATAAAATATAGCTTCATACTATATTCAGACAAGCTTATAAATTAATATAATTTTGTTGAATTTCAAGACATTTCAAAGCACAAAGAAATCTTTCCCCTTAATACATCTGACCACCCCCACAACAAGATTTTAAACCCATGTTAGGAATTGCAGTGGGAATTGCAGTGGGAACTTGGATTTTGTTGTCTAAACCACCTAGTCCCTATTTTCTGCATTGCATTATTAGAAGCAACAGAAAACAGAGGAAAAAGGACTGGATTTGGAAGCAGAAACCCAGATTTGAGACCTGACCTTTACAGTTATTAAATAAGTGACCCTGAGTCAGTCATTTGATCTCTCTGTGATTTTTAGACGTACAAATTGGATAATTGAACTGGAAATAGATGGTCTTTGGTTCATATAAGCCATGAGTATTATGAATAAATGGATAGCTTACTCACTGTACAAAGGTTAGCAAGCTGTCCTCTTTATAGATGAAATTGAAAAGGGTGATATATTGAGAAAGCAGCTATAGAAGTGCTAGGGGCCCTGGAAGCTTCTTCAGCTAGGAAAAACAGAAAAAGAGCTCTTTAAACTCTTGCAAGGATTGCTAGGTATCTGGGTTTGTTTTTCATGGTGGTAATAGTTTTATGACCTAGATATTTAGAACCTTGCTACTCAAATGTGCTCGTGCATCAGGATCTTCAGGAAGTTTATTAGAAATGCAGATAAACAGGCATCACCTGAAATCAACTGAATCAGAATCTGTATTTTAAAATAATTCCCAGTTGACTCTCATATACACTGAAATTTGAGAAATACTACATAAGGCTTTGAATAGCCAAAAGTGATAATTTCATAGCTTAGCAACTATCACGTTCAGTTACATAATAATAAATATAGGCAAAATATTTAAGGTTTGTGAAAATCAAAACTATACTGAAAATCAATAAAAATGAGAGTTGTACAAATATGGCGTGAACATTTCATTTGGAAAAAGAAAATTAAACAATTTTTCAGACAGCTATATTGGGGGACTTTTAAATTTTGTCCTATATGACAGAATGTTAACTAAATGTCTTTTGGAAAATAGCTAGACATTTAAAGAACTTTAAATTTCATGATACAGGAGTGACAAATATATAGTTAATAGGTCTATTTTAACAACTATTTTATCAATATGTGACAAATTGGAAAAATTATTTCCAGCATCGGCATTATTACCTCCATATGCTTTTTAAAATGTTTTTGGGGTTTTATCATTAATAGACTTAATTTTTACAGCAGTTTTAGGTTTACCAAAAAATCAAGCAGAAAGTACAGAGTCCCATATATCCCTCCTCCTACATAATTTCTCTTATTAACATATCTCATTGCTGTGATACATTTGTTATAATTGATGAACCAATACTGTTACCTTATTACCAAAGTCCGTAGTTTAGAGTTCACTCTTTGTATTGTATAGTTCTGTGGGATTTGAAAAATGTATAATATCATGTATGTACTGTCACAGTATCATATAGAACAGATTCGCTAAACTAAAAATCCCCTGTACACCTATTTATCCTTTCCTACTTCTCTCAACCTTTGCCACGGATCTTTTTACTGTCTCTGTAGTTTTTCCTTTTCCAGAATGTCATGTAATTGAAATCACATAGTATGTAGCCTTTTAAGACTGATTTTTTTTCACTTATCAATGTATTTAAGGTTCCTCCGTGTGTTTTTAGGACTTAATAGTTTATTTACTTTTACCTCTGAGTAATAATCCATTTTATGGATGTACCATAGTTTGTTTATAAATTTGGCATTTGAAGAGTATCTTGGTTGCCTCTAGTTTTGGGCAATTATAAATAAAGCTGCTATAGACATTCATGGCAGGTTTTTGTGTGGACATAAGTTTTCAGCTCATTTGGGCAAATACCTAGTAGTGCAATTTCTAGATCTTATGGTAAAAGTACATTCAGTTTTGTAAAAGAAGCTTCAAAAGGTCTCCAACATGGCTGTTTTGTATCCTTAGCAGCAATGCATGAGAGTCCCTGTGTTCTACATCCTTACCAGCACTCGTTGTGTTTTGGATTTCAGCTATTAGATGTCCTTTTTATGGTAATGAAAGTAGCATGAGGTTATAACTTTATAAGAATAATGATTAGTATTGGATTTGGTATAGAATTATCAAATTTTATATATATATATATCATAGAAGAATGTGAAACACACGCATGCGCTCACACACAGGCACACACACACACACATATATACACACATACACACACCTCTGTGTGTGTAAATTATAGAATGAATTGAGCACCAAAATTGTCTACAGGTCAAACTTTTGAAAAGCATTTTTAAGCAAGCAGTTTTGTGCTGACAGCTGCATTTGGGACTGGCTAGAGTAATTGTATTTTATGTATTGCCTGGTAACAAATGTAATGCCATAGAGAAAGGTTATTTCTTCACTCCCAGAACTCCTTCCCATCTTCCCACAGAAGGCATTCTGTACATTCTTCTCTACCTGTGCACAGCTCCAGAGCCTTTGATTCCTTTTAAGAGCACATTTTCTTCTTTCCTACTTTTCAAGAAAAGAGGGCTGATCTGGGAGCCCACTGAGCCTGGAAAGAAACAGGACAGTTTAGGAGAAGTGGCCCATGTTATCACATTAGCTCAAGATAAAAGGCTCCCTAATATATATATATTATATATATATGGAAATATATTTTATATATAATATATTTTATACAATATATATAATATATATACAATATATTATACATACAATATATTATATATATATATATATATATATATATATTATATATATATATATATTTTTTACCACTGAGAAAGTTGGCCAGAAAAAAACAATCAAAAACTTCCCTCTTTGTATATTCTAACTACTTTAAGTCAGTTTGGTCTTAATTGTATATTAGTGATTAATGCAGTCCTACATTTAACCAATATTTATTGGGGTCATGAATCACTTTTGTAACTTCCATATTTCACTTTTCTCAAAGTTAGTCAATGATATTTGCTGTTTTCATGATCATTCTTAATTGCATTAATCACATATTTGGCAATTACGTGCTTTGTCTTCTATGTTACACTTGTTAAACATGTAGATTACTGGCCCCACTTCAGCCCTGTTGAATCAGAATTTTTGCTTGGTAGCCTGAATTTAGTTAAAAACATCCATATGATCCTTCAGTACACCAAACTTGAGGATTACTGACTTAAGGAATGACCACTACCTTCAATCACCAAATGATACTGGAGGAACCATGCTGTGAGGGGAGGAATTCTGGTTGGACCTGAGTTTCTGATACAACTCTATCTTGGTAAGTTGATGAAGCGTCATTCGGCATTTAATGGATCTGTGCCTAAGGTTTCTCATCCAGTAATTCAGTTCACTTCAACAAGCACTGAGACCTTGACACTGTTGAGTGTGGAAATAACACTTCTTTAAAAACTGTGATTAACAATCCTTTGTCCTGCTTCTCTAAACAGATGTGTGTTAAGATCAGATGAGGCGTTTCAGGACATACTTTACAAACTTTAAAAAGTTAGGTATGCCTAATGGACTAATACTTTAAAATATAATGGGGATTGCTATGGGTCTTTATTTTTTTCCCTTCCTTTAAAAACAATTATAATTTTTTAGGAAACATTTTGTGTAGTAAGGCAGGGGGAGGCTAAGGCTCACTATGTAGCTCCATACTTTTCTAGAATTCCTCTTATCATTAATTCTTACTTTAAGTTACTCTTTATAATTTTAACTTGATGGCTTCTTTTAGCTTTTTGTTGTGTTGGATTGCTATTAATGTCAGTGGGGATGGCACAAGGTTCGAGAGGCCAAAGAGACCCAGAACCAGGCAATGAGACATGGGGTTTATTGAAGTGGAGGTTACATACAGTGTGGTCCAGTAGCAGCGGGCTGGACAGAACTGCCACCGCCTACAGAAAGCATGCAGTTTAAATAGCATTTTCACTTAACACCCTCCACCTGGCAGTCTCCACCTAGCTTAAGACGTTATTGCTATCAGGTGGATTTACCATACACCTCAGCTCAGAATCTCCTTGAATGGCCCTAACATTTTTATCGTATCATTCTTCCGTGATTTCCCCAGGGCCAGGTATGCAGAGGAGCATTGCTGCCAGATGTGGCAGCAGCACTAAAAACTACAACAAAAAACAAATAACAATCACTCTGCAAAGATTGTTCTTCCAAGCACTTGGGAGTTGATCCTGTACATGCCACGGCAGGCCCATGGTGGAAAGCAGCAGCTCTCCATAGACCCAACAGTCCGTCTTGTTCTAGAGAGAGGCCACAGTCTGCGCCCAGTCAGTGAAGAGGTTCTCTGCCTAACATCTAACCAGATGACACCCAAGCACCTGACCAAAACGCTTGAACCTTGGACCCTCTCTGCATCAACCATCCATCCTCCATTTGCCTAGTGGGACAACAAGGTGGGGGCTGCAGCCTCCAGGCTGGAAAAAGACTTAGAAACCAGCATATCATTAATGCAATGGAAAATAGGTACCCCCTCCATTCCATAACCATCTATTGTTGTTATAGGCCCTTTGAACTGATGAATGTTACCATATATGAGAGTGTATTCCACTCTAGTATCCACTAGGGCAAGCACAGCCTATTCTTATTTGTCCAATATATAGTTAGTTCTACATATGGCCTCTGTCCTCAGACACCCTGGCCACCATTGCTCCCATCAGAATTTTGAAGCCTTGGCCTTCATCCAGGTCTAAAAGTGCCTGCCCTTGCCATCTCTCTGCAGGAGAGGCAGTGAACTGAGCCTGAGGCTCTTTAATGAAACTTTGTTCTGGCTTGAGCTTCTGCCATAGCCTGACCAAGACAGCATCAGGTTGTCTCCACCCTCACAGTAGGCATTCCTGCTAGCATGCCATGCCATGTCTTCAGCAGGCCACCCTGATGGGCCCCTCATCTGTCTCCTTTCCTTTGGCTCCTTTGTCTTTCATCCCAGCAGTGCACCACCACCCCCTCACAACCCCACGCACAGACGAGTGCACCATACCTTTGGTTTGGCAGGGACTCTTAGATGGCGTCTTTCATGCCAGCAAGAAAAGTTCATTGCTGGGACCTTGGCAATGCTCAGCATAGATAGCATGCTTCACTCCTAATTCCCGGAGGAGTGCCCTGCAATCCCTCCATAGTCTGTCATCACAAAGGCCACGTGGGGACATCTCCCTCACTTGGCCTGGCTATCTTGCAGCAACACTCACCCAGCTGAGGAGGGGGATGGCCCCGTCTCCATTACTGGCACCACAGAGGTGCTGCTTCCAGGCCGGGTGGTTTGTGATGGATGCCATTTTGCCATTTTACTCATCTCAAGTCTGGAGAGTATAATAGCCTCTGCCTGCATGTTCCACAGATGGAGAAGCCACCCCATGATTGACTCTCTACCCTTCTGTCCTAACCTGTTTTTAGCTCCACCAATTCTACAGTGGGGTCGTCCCATATTGTGGTGCGCTGCTGTCTTCCAGGGGGCGGGAGAGGGGGGCAGTCGTGCGAGTCTGCTTCCAGTGGGTGCAGGGGAGTTGGTGACTCTTCATACAGGCTACCTGAAAAGCCAGGGTCTCCATTTTGTCTGGCACCTCTTTGTAGTCACAGCTCGTCCTGCAACTGGCAGACCCTCACTTGCACCATGAGCTCAGCCTCTATGGCTGCTTGGAGCAGGGTCAGAAGCCGCCCACCAACTGTGGCTCCCACAGCTCAGGCATCTGACCCTCACTCAGTCAGATCCACCCCCTGCAACAACTCTTCCAGACCACTCAGTGTTTTCAAGGCACCTCCATACTCATGTGGTGGGCCCCATCCATCAAGTATAACAGCTACCAGGCCCCACACAGACATGCATGGCCAGCCTAGGATTTATCTCGCAGATTTCTCCTTCTCAGATCCTATCTTCTGGGCACTCATGGAGTTTTCTCTGACCTCCTGTTGTCATGCTGGACCTCTGTTTACTTCAGTAGGGATGGCACTAGGTTTGAGAGGCTGAAGAGCAGACCCAGAGCCAGCAAAGGAGACAGGGTTTATCAAGGGGGAATTACATACAGAGCTGCCCAGTGGCAGTAGGCTGGACAGGAGAGCCACCACTGCCTGCAGAAAGCATGCAGTTAATATAGCGTTTTTCACTTAATGCCCTCTACCTGGCAACCTCTACTTAGCTTATCATTGTTGTTGGGTGCATGTGCCATGCAGAGTCATTCTCAGGGTATGCTTAAGTTATTGCTATCAGGTGTATCTACCAAATACCTGGTGTACAGTACTGGTGGTTGTACAGTATACTTTTCCACTAGAAAACCAATATTCCCTAATAAAGAATTCACCTCATTCTTTCCTCTTTTTCTTTTATTTTTATTTTTTTGTTGTTGTTGTTGTTGTTTTGTTTTTTTGAGACAAGGTCTCACTCTGTCACCCAGTCTGGAGTGCAGTGGTGTGCAATCCTGGCTCACTGCAACCTTCATCTCCTGGGCTCAAATGATCTTCCCACCTCAGCCTCCCAAGTAGCTGGGACCATAGGCATGCCACCATGCTGAGCTAATTTTTGTATTTTTTATATAGTCAGAGTTTCGTCATGTTGCTCAGGCTGGTCTTGAGATCCTGGGCTCAAGCAATTCCCCCACCTTGGCCTCCCAACATGCTGGGATTACAGGTATGAATGACCATGCCAGGCCAAGAATTCACTTCAAAAACTGCGTAAATTTTTACCTGAAGTTATTACTGACACTTGCAAACTATATAAAAATATTGGTGAAATAAAGACCTCCAAAGAAACTTCCAAAATGGACTTGTCTCCAACCCTAGAAGATTTTCAGACTAGAATCGAGAAATTTTCCTGCTTTCCAATGGCTTTGCCGGTCAGTGTGAGACACCTTAACTCTGTAAACTAAGGGATCTCACACTTGCTGTGCATATGAATCATGTGGGGTCCAGATAAGTATACAGATTCCTCTTGCCAATCCATAGAGATTTGAAGTTAATAGTTTTGGAGCCATGTCTGATTATTTAATAAGGACCCCAATGAAAGTGATGCAAATGGGTCTGGAACTCTGGTTTTCAATCTTGGCTACACATTAGAGTCACCTGGGGCATTATAAAAAATACCAATGCCTGGCTCTCACCCCAGAGATTCTGACTTAATTTATCTGGAGTATGGCATAGGCATTAGGAGTTTCAAAACCTCCCCAGATAATTCTAATGTACAACTAAGACTGAAAATCAGTGTTCTAGAACCATATGTGAAGGGTTATAATGCCTTAAAGAAACTAAGCACAGAAATAGTCAAAGAGAAACCAAGCTTGGGATAGGTTATTATAATCCCACACTGAATGTGTAATCGCACAACCTTATTGAATTCAAACTTTGTTTACGATAATGGAAATTGTCTTATAACAAGAACCCCAAAATGATTAAAAGAATCAGGGCAGAAAAATATATTAGCTTACTGCTCTTAAAATCTGACCCTCACTTAATCGGATCCACCCCCTGCAACAACTTTTAGCCCATAACCTATCTATAGGAGCCAGAGTTCCAAGGCATTTTTATTTTCTTGTTTTTCTCCTTTGGCTGGAAACCAACAAAGACCACTGTCATGGCAGACATATATAATAGCTATTTGCACAAAGACACTATTCCAATATAGACACAAAGTTTGTGATTTTTGTGATACTCAGATATGTATAAAGTCCAAAATAGTTGAAAATTGCTACTTTAGATTAACAGTAAAACATTTTTTTCTTTTCTATTCTTTATTTTTTTAATATGATTGCCAGAAAAACAATAATCTCTGAACAAAAATGTTAGATGCATTTTGCCAGAAGATTATACTCATGAAGGTAGTATATTTATATTAATAGGCCTGAACTTCTAGAACTGATTCAGCCAGGTGCGGTGGCTCACAGCTATAATCCCAGCACTTTGGGAGGCTGAGGCAGACAGGTCACCTGAGGCCAGGAGTTCGAGACCAGACTGGCCAACATGGTGAAACTCCATCTCTCCTCAAAATACAAAAATTAACCAGCCATGGTAGTGGGCACCTGTAATCCCATCTACTCTGGAGGCTGAGGCAGGAGAATTGCTTGAACCCGGGAGGTGGAGGTTGCAGTGAGCCGAGATCACACCCCTGCACTCCAGCCCGGGCAACAAAACAAGACTCTGTCTGTAAATAAATAAATTAATTAATTAAAATAAAATAAAATAGAACCGATTCATAATTTTATAAAGATTGTTCCCAGAAATAGAAATAGTATTACAAATGCAGTTTTTAAAAAATTGCATGTAATTCAAATTTCCTAGGCCTTGTAGCCAAAGGTGATACTGATTTCTAAATTACTGTTGCTCTTAGTTATCATCTTCCAAGTAAGTTGCTTAGGTAGGATTTCATTCTCCCCTAAAGTCTTCCCCAGCCATGTGAGGAAATAACTTATTTATTTATCCATTTGATAAATATTTAATGAGAGCTTACTTACTATTTTTCAGAA
This sequence comes from Homo sapiens, assembly GCF_000001405.40. NCBI lineage: Eukaryota > Metazoa > Chordata > Mammalia > Primates > Hominidae > Homo > Homo sapiens. The sequence continues at coordinate 84,170,493 of NC_000005.10, read as the reverse complement.
TACCACTGCTGTTGTTCTGACCTTGAACATAGTGATAAGGGAAGACTACTCCGTTCTCTGCTAATGGTCACCTAGCCAACTGAAACTGCACATGGTCTAAGGTCAAGGTCAAGCCTAGCCGTTTTAATGGCATTGGGTCTTACTATGTTCTTGGGAGTTGGAAAGACATGTGTCTTTTCCCAGAACCTTACAAATCTTTTTGTGAACACCGTTGCTCAGCCTTTCTTCCTTAACTTCTCTTTCATTCAGGGTTCAGATATCTCAGGCTATTTGGAGACAGATGCTATGGCCACACCTCTCTTATTCTCCTCTCTACTGTCTTTCCCAAGAAACCATTTTGCAATATCATTTCTCCTGTAAAGGCAGCTATAAACAAGAGAATAAATTTTCATGAGGATCTGAAGCTCACTTATACAACAAATATATTATTAACTCCCTACTCAGTGCAAAGCACTAATCTGGATAGTGGAATATAGCACTGAACCAAAATAACCAAGTCTCTGCTGTCATAGAACTTCATTAATGGAGAAAAAGATGATGAAAATGTGACACAGGCATTACCATACAGTCCAGCAATTACACTCTTGGGCATTTATCCCAGATAAGTAAAAAGTTAAAGTTCACACAAATACCTGTACCTGGATACTCATAGCAGCTTTATTTGTAATGCCTGAAATCTAGAATTGCACAGATGTCCTTCAACAGGCAAATGGTTAAACAAACTGTGGTACATACATACCATGGAATTGCTACTCAGCAATGCAAAGGAAGGACCTATTGATACATACAACAACTTAGATAAATCTCCAGGAAATTAAGCTGAGTGAAAAAAAAAAGCCAATCCCAAGAGAATACATACTAGATGACCCATTTAATTACATTTTTGAAATGACAAAGTTTTAGAAATGGAGGATAGATTAGTGGTTTCCAGATGTTAGGGACAGAGGGAAGTGAGTGTGGTTATAAAAGGGCAACATGAGGTGTCCTTGTGTTTGAACCATTTCGTATATTGACTGTGATGACACATACAGAAACCTACATATGTGATAAAATTCTATAGAGCCTAATTACATACACATATCAATATAAGTAAAACTGGAGAAATCTGAATAAGATTGGACTATCATAGTAATGTCAATATTTTGGTTCTGTTTTTATACTGTAGTTTGTAAAATGTTAACCATTGAGGATAACTGATTAAAATATATATGGTATTTCTTTGTATTATAGTTTTTCAAATGGATATGAATCTATAATTATCTCAACTAAAATTTCAATCAGAAATAACAGCACCACAATGCATAATAACAAGTTTTGTTATGTTTTGTAAGAATGGAGATTATGGAACAAAGGGGCGTGAGTGCTGTTTTAGAGCTTAGCCAAAGAAGCTTGCTCCTACCAAGTAACAAGCAGAGATGTGAATGAAGTCAGGGGGTCAAGTATGTGAATCACAAGGATTAGCAAGTATTGAATCCTAAGATGGGTATGTGTCTGGAGCATGGTGAGTGATTAAGAGAGTGGGCAGAAAGAGGACCTGAGCAATAGTCAAGGACGTGTAAGCCATAGAGAGGACTTTTAGTTTTATTGTAGTTGTGTAATTGTAATTGTGGAAGCACACTTTTGGAAGGTGGACAGCAAGGGAGTAAATGAACTAATTTCTATTTGGAGAATGATTCTGGCAGATGGCAAAGAATAGGTTCAGGTGGGGGTAAGCGTGGAACCTTGCAACCACCTGGGAGGTGATGGTGGCTTGGACCAAGGTAGTAATGAACACTTGGGAGGAGTTGAACAATGTTCGTATATGAAAAATAGTTTGAAGTCAATTACGACCAGCATCATAAATATTTATGGGATATTTTTGTTAATTTCAGTAGCATTATAATTATTTCTCTTTTTACCTCACTTTTTACTATAGATGTGGGCAGCGTAATATACTGTTCTTATGATTTCAAGTATGCATTGTGATTGCCACTCTTTCTATCTTTCAACAGCATCATTAAGATAGAATCTAGAAATTTAAAGAGAAATAATGTATATGTTCATACATATATAGGTATGTACAGGTACAAGGAAGGTCTTAAATATATTCAATGCTATTTAGGATGTTGAATTTTTAATTTTTGATATTTTTAAAAGACCCATAAAATTGGTTGTCTTTAGATATATTGTGTGTTATGTGTCATGATAGTGTAATGCAGTATATTTTAAAGAAAACATAACAGAAGTATGTAAATCAAGACTAATAATTACATGCTAAAATACAACAATGATTTTAAAAAATAGAACATCATTTACATTTGAATAGGAAATCTGGAAATCACAGTTGCATAGAGTGGATATTTACTAATGTCAGCCTTTAGAATGATTGATTTTGCTCTCAACATTTTAATTTATTTTGCAATTATGCCATAGCCTAGAAGTTTAGAGAAATTTAAGGCAATGCATCGTTTGGAAATAAGCAGACTTAGATATTCAGGAGATTTTAATCATTTTATATGATATATCTTAAATTGAAATATTTCCAAATGAGAATTATTCTCTCCTTGATCTGAAAATGCTTTTTTGGTTGATAAGTAAAGGAATTGTTTCTGACTTTTTCTAAATAAAATGAGTGCAGTTTATTTGGATAATGACAGCATGGTTGTTGAAAGAGCTGAGAATTTAAATGTAGAAAAGACTTAAACTTCCATTCCTTCTATACTCTTAACAAGTCATATCAACTTTAAGTAATGATAATAACAGGTCTTGGTTTCCTTGGTTTTAGAATAGAAATAACTGGGCCACTTGCCTATTCTCAGATCCCACTTGGTGATGCCCTGTCAATTTAGTATATGTGATAGTGTTTTGTACAATTAAATGTTCTGTATGCTGATAAACTATCATTCTTGGTATTATTGGTTTTCAGAATACTTATTCTTTCATCATAGTAAAAGAAATCGGTACTAAAATAAAACAGAAATAGATACTGATTTTATCTGTGCTAAATTAGGCAGTAGAGAGGATTGAAACACCAGGTGCCTCAATTTAAAAAGTAACATCTTATAATTGAGAGTGTACACCTTCTCAGTATGTGAGGTGAGAAGCAGGGAGAGAAGGAGGAAAAGAAGGGGAGAGAGAGGAGAGGTGTGGGAGTCTGAGGAAAGGAAGGGGCAAACTCATGAACGCTATTGTTCTGGTTCTACACTTTCCAATCAAACTCCTTAGAAGAGTTATCTATACTCAATGTCTCCTGCATGCTCTGAGATTAGTTTAAGAACACATTCAGATTTTAATCACCTCTTACCACCTTCACTTCTTCCTAAGGCAGCATTATGCACTATGACGTGCTCCTAATGATTTTGCTGACTCTACACTTGCTCCCAATTTATTCTCAAAAAAAATCCAGACCGATACCTTCAAATATACGTAGTAATAAGTCATTTCTGTGTTTAAAATCTCCCATGGTTTCATAGTTCACTTCAAGCAGAATCTAAAGTCTTTATAGTGAACAAAAATAACCTGGCATGCCCCGTTCCTGTTCGTCTCTCTTGATCTTATATCCAACTATACTCCACCTTGCTGATTCTACTTTGGCCACACAGTTCTCTGCTGACCTCAGATGTGTCAGTCCAGCTTCCAGTCTGGGGCCTTTGCATTGTGATCATTTACCTGGCCTCCTCTTTGCTAGATAACCATGATTCTTGCTCCCTTTCCTTTTCTTCTTAGATCTTAGCTCAAGTAAGAATTTTCCAGAGTGGCTTCCTCCAACTAACCCGAAGACAACAGCATTCTTTAACATCTTCCTCCACCATCTCTTTGCTGTTCCTCTCTTTTACTCATCTTTATTTTCTTAGCACTCATCACCATCTGCCACATTTTATATTTATGTTTTAATATTTTTCTTCTCTTTAGAGAGTAAGCATCTTTTCTAGAGCAAGGACTTGATTTGTTTACATTTTGCTGTAATTTGCTGTGCCTAAAAAGTGCCTAGCTCATCATAGGTGCTTGATAAATATTTGTTAAGTAAACAAATGAATGAATGAGCCTTGGTGTGTTAACCAATGAATCATTTAATGTATTGTCTAATAGCAGTCTATCTCCCATGATATTGGGCTTTGAAAAAGACAAACAAACAAACAAAACAAGGGAGAACAACAAGGGAGAACAAACAAACAAACAAAAACTCTTAAATAGTATGTGTCTTTAAGAGCTTATAAAATTAATGTGAAGAAAAATAATACTTCCTCTAACAAGAGGCCCATGGCCAAATAAGTTGAGGAACACGGTACCTCATCTCCTCCTTTTGGAGATTGTCAGATTGTCAGTGTTTATTAGATTTTTGGTGAATATGAGGAGCCATGTAGTATATAAAGATTGCTAAACAAATAATTGTTAGATAATTTTTAAAGCTTTTTAAGATTGTTTAAATCAATCACTTGGAAGACAGAGGAGTGACAGTGGCATGGAAATTTCAAAATGGAGAGTTTAGTATGCAAAGGAGAGAGGGCAGATGGAAACAAAGTGAGGCAGAAGCAAGAAAAGATGAAAGGGTTATTGTTAAATGATTGATAAATATGTAGGAGGCAAGGGTGGGTGGAATTGAAGTTTAATGCAGGGTTCTGTTGCATTTGCACATATACATGTTTTAATACAAATATACAGTAGAAGGAACAGCCACCCATGCATAACTGTCTACAAGCACTTATTCAGCACTTAGAATTGTCCCCACAAATAGTGATTATGTTAATGTTACCTTGCACGTGGTGCCATCCTTTGTCTAAAAGATGAAGGAGCCGTGAACAGTGCTTTCCATCAAGATTATCGAGAGAGCCATTTGCCTCTCTTGCTGCTGGAGGTTTTGTCATTATTTGTTGTTTACAGTGAGCACACTGTTTTTGTTGGAGTCACTTTGCTTCTCATACCTTTAGTCCATTGTCAGCTACTATTTCCCAGTTGTGTATGCCTTAATGCTACATTCTCACAGCCTAGGCAGTGAATCCTTCAAGAGCAATATTGGAAGGCAGGAGCTAGCAGCACTTAGAAGAGGAATGCAGCACAAGAGTTGCCGTTGTGAGAAATGATGCCTTGAGAAACGGTAGTCACAAGTAAAAGGTAAAACACAGGTAGAAGATGGTTTTGTCGTAGATGAGATGGCTCTAAATATGTGACCTTTCCTGAACTGTGTCAGGTGTGTAGTTTCTTTTCTTATAGAACTCTAAACATCATCTGGTAAAAGAAAGGAATATGGGAACAATTCAATGTGAGGATCTTGCATTTGTCCGGCCATGTACATATTAGATTATAAAGTTCCTAAGGACCAGAGTCTAGCTGTATGCTTTATTTACATTTTAATAGCAAGAAGCACAGTTAGGGACACCAGCTTCACAATCTGAACCTATTCTCTTGCCAAAAATCTGACCCTGATCTAACTTCCTTAATTTATTTTCATATTCCCCTTTACATACAAATGGTTCTCTAAAGTTAGCCACTTGCCATCCGTCCTTCAGGATCCTTAATTTCCCATTGTCCTGCCCTTGCTGATTTTCTTTCTGTGCCTGGAAAGCCCTTGCCCTTATCGCTCATCGATAATGCCAGGCCCAGATCCTCCAAAAACGCTCCTAGGATTTCTACTTCCTCAGGCAGGAAAGTCCCTCTGCTTTCAACCTTGTAAGACACTTACTTCTTCATTCTTTCTCCCTTGTTTTGTATTTATTTATATATTTCTCCTCACTCCAGGCAGCTTAAAGATAATTTCTGCCTGAGTCATCTATGATTCCTGATCAAAACCTAGAATTGTGATTTGCATGTAGTAGGTACTCAAAATATATTGGGTAAATGAATTTATAAATAAGTGAGTGATAAGAGCACACTAAACACTTGTTTATGGTTTGACTACCAAAGCAGAACGCTAGAGAACACCACGGTGAATTGCAACAGAGATCATTGCAATTATCTTGTCTTTTGAACTTGACCAGTTGGGGTTATTTACCACTACTTGGCAGGGATATATGGCTATTTTACATACGGATATTTCTCTTATATCTTTCAAGGGTGCCTGTCACATGGTAGCTGTACTATAAATATTTATTGAATGAATTAGTGCTGGCATATTTTACCAGTATATTTTTAAATATATTTTATTTAAATTCAAGGAAGCACATATTTATAATTTCTGAAGTATGAAGATACCCATGTCATCAAGTAATGAGAACTATAAAAGCTATTTTATCTACATAGACAAACTTAATGTTCAAATCCAGTAAGTATCCTAGTCTACGTTCCTATTCTTCCCAATCATTTAGGATACCTATTTTTATTTTTATATCTACGTCTCTTCATATGTAGGGATTTTACTGCAAACCGTTTTAACTGATTTGTGGAAAAAGCAGGGCATATATTAAAAAAAATATTTTTTCAGATCCCTCTCAGTTGTATCTGCATATATGATGAGAAAATCATAGCACAGCATATACAGCAGTAGTCCCTTATGGCCAGCTTCAGAGGTCTAAGTTGGCCTTCTTAAAAGCAGTCAATTATTACAAGCTTCTAAAGAGCTATGTATTAGTATAAATGATTCACCATATTTAAATACAGTAAAGCAATGGAATCCGTTTAGAAGTTTATAAGGTAGAATTTGATGACATCATACTTTTGATGACAGGATAGTATTTTGATGAAAATGGATAGCATTTTCTAGTATGGATAATCATTCTCAGTATCTTCATTTAAGATGAATTAAACTGCAAGTTTATACATGTGTTTTGTTTTGTTTTGCTAAAACTTTCCTTATGCATTTTTCTGTCTATAAAAGATGTCACAATGTCCATGTTAATACCTTACTACTAACATTATTCTAAGTTACGTAGATAGATTGACCTAGCATGGCTGATTTTGATCTTAAGTTGCACTGATTAGTCTTTTAAGTTTGATTAGATGAATTTCTGAGCTATCCATGACTTTTTTATTAATAAAGTCATCCAAGATATTTAGTGTATTTTTGCATTGATGGTCTTATATGTTAAAAAGTAAATAAACATGAAATTACCTTATTTCCTTAAAGTAACTTAATTCTTAGTGAGCTTTATTTTTTAATTGATATTTTAAACTCATAGGAATATAACGTATTTCAGTTTCTCTTTAAGGTATAGTCTCATAGGAATGTAAGTGACATTTTTGTCTGAGAACATAGTCTTTCTCTTTCCTCTTCAGAGCAACCAAATTGAGGAAAAATTTATTGCCAGCTATCTTTCTGCCATAGTTTATGGCCTGCAATTCTCAAATGGTTTAGAGAGTATATTTAAAATGAACTTCCTGGTCATTTTCTGTTTTTCAGGGACTTTAAACATGATTTGGGTTTGTCATCTAAAAGTAGAGTCACTCTTTGAGGTTCAAATTTCTTGCCCAACTTTTATTTTTAAAGCTTTCTCAAATACAAAGCTCAAGAGTCTTGGTCGATTTAAAAGCCCACTGTCTGTTTTCCCTAAATATTTACTTTTAAAAATATGATTGATATTAAGTATGTTATTACTGAAAAAGGAAGAAAAGGACTGTGGGAAGGTCAGAAAGAAATAAAACACTAAGCTTTTCCTTTTATTATGATGATGTCATATAATCAGTTACATATGGACTGCTGCTTCAGTGCCTTTCTTGGGAGGCCCAAAGACAAGGGGCTATGGCCTAAGCTGTCCTCACTGGATACAGATCAAGGACAGAGAAAGGTATGGGGAATGGAGTACAGTTCTAGAATATGGCAGGGAAAGAATATGTGTGGATTTCCTGTGGGCCAGATGTGGACTTCTCAAAACCAAGAAGCTCTGTTATCTTGGGAGCCCAAGAGGAAAATCCAGAGAAGGTCCCTGTGCAATCAACATGGTGCTCCAAGGGGATCCAGGGCACAGAGCATAAAGGCCCATAAAAGAAGGCAGCTAGAGGTAAAGAATTCCCAGTGATGAAATGTCATCACAGAACCTTCCATTGTCCCAGGAAAAAAAGAGCCCACAAAGCACATCTGCCAAATCCAGATCACCAAAGCCATGTTTCAACCTGACCATCAAGGATTTCATCTCATCCACTTTGGTACTGAAGATGTCAAAAGAAACTAGAGAATGGAGGATAAGGTGGAATGAGAGAAGAGAATATCGCCTTAACTCACTTCCCAGTTCCTTCCTTAGACACTGCCAGGAGGGACCCCTTGTCCTGGATCTCACATTGGAGATCTTGCTCTGGCTTTCTTCTGGAACCACTCCTCTCTATGGAGCAAGACATCCATGGGTACAAGGGAACATGCCCACCTGGAGACTTATTCCCCTTTCTAGACCATGCTGAAGATAATCCAGAACCCAGAATGGTCTGCCCAAATGGTACCCAGCATACTTCTAGGCCCCATGTGAGCCCCTTCTCCATATCTGTCCTCCCATGTGTCACTGTGTCACTAGTGGGCACACACCTGGGATCAGTGACATGCCATGGAATATCTGATTACTGCTTGGGAAAGACAGTGATCAGGTGCTTGGGCTTGGATATCTGTAGAGAAGAGTGGGTTGAAAGCTGTTTCTCTTATGGTCCTCAATTCTAAATTCTAAATTCCAACCTAGTTCTAAATTTAGAGTTCTAAATTCCAACCTAGTCTTCCACATTGTTAGAAAGATAGGTGACAAATGTTTTAAATAATTTATTAGCCTTATGATAACTTTTAATGATTTAGACCCATAAGAGAGTTTCCATTGTGACCCAGACTGTGAATTTTAGGTGAGGTCCCACTTCTCCACTGCAATTTTCCCAGGTAGGCCTAAGCTGGGAATGAGGAGTTCCAACTTGGATATCACTATGAATTTTTAGATGCTACAAAACTAGACTTATTTTAGTAAGGAAGGTACAGGCGATTGTCTAGTAGCTAAAAGTAAGCTTAGGGCATTTTTATTACCTAGAAATAATCAGAAAAACAATGGCAGCTTCCTCAAGATTTGATTCAGGATCAGGTAGAAACAAATATCTAGTATTAGGTAAAGGATGCTTTTGTTTTGTTTGAAATATTATAGACTGTGAAGCTCTTTTTTTAATGAGAAACCCCAGTGCTCATTCTTTGGTTGGGGTGAATCTTTATCTTACAGTTGTCCTGTAATCTTATTATTTGTCCAGATAACTAGACCCGAGTTAAGCATTAGTCATAACAAACCCAGGTTTTAAAAAGGCATTCGTCTTGAAGCTAGTCAAAGGAATATATTTTTTTCCTTCTTTATGTTGGGAACAGTTTATCTATTTAACACCTATCAATCAATGAGTAGATAAAGAAAATGTGGTATATACACACCATGGAATACTACTCAGACATAAAAAAGGAACAAAGTCATGGCATTCACAACAGCCTGGATGGTATTAGAGACCATTATTCTAAGTGTAGAAACTCAGGAATGGAAAACCAACTATTGTATGTTCTCATTTGTAAGTGGGAGCTAAGCTGTGAGGACACAAAAGCTTAAGAATGATATAATGAACCATAGGGGCTTGTGAAGAAGGGTGGGGAGTGAGGGACAAAAGACTACATAATGGGTACTGTACACCATGCAGTGATGGGTGCACCAAATCTCAGAAATCACCACTAAAGAACTTATCCATGTAACCAAAACCATTGGTTTCCCCAAAACTATTGAAAGAAAAGAAAAGAAAGGAAAGGAAAAGGAAAGGAAAAGGAAAGGGAAAGGAAAGGAAAGGAAAGGAAAGGAAAGGAAAGGAAAGGAAAGGAAAGGAAAGGAAAGGAAAGGAAAGGAAAGAAAAGAAAAGAAAAAAAAGAAGAAAATGAAAATGACACCTCTCAGGACTGTGGAGAGGATGTTGGAAAGTGCTGGGTAAACTGGGAATAACTGGGAGCAATGGAAAGAACCATTACCTGCAGCTGAATAAGCTTTGATTCATTTAAAAACTGCTTCACGTGCAGCTGCTGTTTGTCAGGCACTGTTCTGGAAGAGGGAATGTAGCAAAAAATAAAACACAAAATTCATGTTTTAATGTCGTTAATATTCCAGCAATAAAATAAAATAAAGTATTAAAATAAGAAAAATCAAGTTCTATCAACCATTCATTATTCTCTAGGAGTTATAAATAGTTGAACATGGTTTTATGCTTAAAAACAAATAGGTTATATTTTAAATCCCCAGATTCATCTTCCTAGACACTACTTATAGAGTAGTTGTTTCCATGTTGTGATGTATACACCCCAGAAAAGTTCAAGAGATAATCCCCTGAGAAGTGGAAAGAAAATAAGATAACTTGCTTGTATGTTTATTTATTGTTAACAAGTACATGTATTAAGTGCATTGCAGTTTACCTCATGTATTGACAGAGGCACCTCACTGGAGTTGTCTGTCAAAAAAACCAGTACAAAGGTTCTGAAGAAGGAGTAGTAGTTCTACAAAGCAGAACCCTTTTATCACAATGTGACTATTATGTTATCTATTAAATTAATTCTAACCAAATCCACAATTGGCCTGAAAAGAAATCTGCAGAGAAATGTCAGAATGAAGAAAATGCCAACAACACAAGCGGTGAGAAAATAGCTAGCATTTATTCTATTATGAACTAAATACAAAATATTATGAGATAAAGCAGTGCCAAAGTAATTATATGTAACAAGAGATTGGATCCCAAAGTTGAAATTATCAACATGATCTATAATATGTGTTTACGTCCACCATTATTGTTGATAAACTAACCCAGAGGGAATACTGTGTTTTATGCTTTTAGGTATTAGTTAATGATAACATGAAGCCATTGCAATTGGGAACATGCTTTAAAAATGTTTATTGTAACCATATCTCATTATTTTAAAATTTATGTTTCCTATATACAGTTTATTATGAACATAATTATTCATTTGTTAATTATTGTATATAATTTATAAATTCTTAAGTATATATTTATTGAAAGTGTGTGCCACAGTTAAAATTTTACTACTGGGATATATGATCAAGTGTTTTGAGACTATGGCTAGAAAGGACTAGAATGTGTATTTGTTGAATGAAAAAAATATACTTAACAATATATGGGGTCAGGTAAGCTTGAACTTATAAGAGTAACCAATAAATGAGTTTTATTACATTTATATAAATCATATTTTCTGATTCTAGCTAATTTAAAGACACCATTTTCTACCTACACACTTGGTCTACGTATGATTTTTGAAACACGATAAAATTTCAATCAGAATTTTATGCAGCAGGAAGAGAAATACCTGTAACAATGACTGTGCCTGGCTTTCATGTAGTGACCTAAGATGGATTAACTCATAAATGTACTGTTTATTTATAATAGATAGATATTGCCTTTTAACTTTTCTGTTAATGGATGTTTTCACCCGTGAATTTGTATTGCAGAGTGGCAAAAAGTGGATCTCTGGAAATGCCAGTGGCTAAAACGTTTCCACTTGGTTGTGTATGTACTGGCAATGGGGATATCGTTAAAACATAATAAAAATGTACATTGTTCCTTTTTATTGTTCAGTTTGTTCCTTTGTTATAGGCACCACAGGGAATAGTTTTATGGGTTTTATAATAAATGAGTTTGTGGGGACATAAAATGACTAGATATTTGGAGGAGTAGAGTATGATTATTAGATCAATATCCCTTATGCCGAGAATGGAACTGCAACACCAAAACATGAAATGACAGAATTTAATTTCTTAACCTCAGGTTTTAGAAGTTAAACACCCCATTACCAAAATTAAGAGAACTTATCACAAATACAGGTTTTGTTTTTTAAGTAAGCGTATTTCTAAACATCTTAGGATAAAGGTTTCCAGACATAAAGCCAATGATTTCTATATTTATGTGTTCTTCTATTTTTAACTATCCAATTTTACCATGTAATTGAGGGATAAGTAGTAAATAGATGCAAAGCTTACTTTATAATAAGGTAGTACTAGGCACTACACAACTGAGGAATATGAATGTATCTTGTATATGCTGGAAGCACTTTAAAATTATGTTTTAGAAATCGATGTATTTCTGTGCTGATGTTCTGAATGCTCTTTCATCTTTGATGTATTCTATTTTGTAGGATAATTCAGGGCATGTCTCTGAGAAAAAGCTGACATATTTAGATATGTAGGAATGCAGCTGAATTTGTGTGTGTATTGCTAGTGGGAATTGGATAAATTATTTTCTCAGTATTTACTTTAATTTCCTTCAGTGCAGATACCATTCTTTAAAATATCTGAGCAGTATTCACTTTCAGAGCTAAGAGGTAAATTGGTAAGACCCTTAAGGTTACCCATTTTTGTGAATTGCTGAATAAAGGTAACAAAGTGAAAATGCCAAAATATTACTTAACTCTATCCAATATAATTGATGGATTTATAAACCAGTCAGATGTCAAGTTATTTTTACTTTCAGTCATTTGGCACATCTGGTTTTACAATTTTTAAAGAATCTTTCCTCATATATAACAAAACTTGTTGTGCCTGTTTTGTCTGTATGCTATTTTAATGCTTTAATTATATGCAGCATGCTGCTTTGTTATAGCAACACTTCTTTGTTCTGTAATAGATTCCGGTTATCATTGTCTAGAAAATTTCAGAAAAATCTCCTTCGATTGGCACCCAAATAGGCAGTATTCTAATGCTGAAGTTGTGTTTTATTTTCTTTCTTCCAAATATTTATGCATTTAGTAAATTCTACATTTAGCGTTACGTTATTTTTTTAATTCATACTACATCTCTACAAGAAGTAATTAAAAGGGAAAAGCAAATTTACCAACAAGAATTTAGAGAGATTAAAAATCTTCTTCTTTTGTATCATTCTCTCCACAGGCTTCTTACATACAAAGGTGACACAGAATGGTAGCTTTAACACTGTTAGGAACAGAGTTATTTTATGTGGGCAAATGGAAATGGTCCAAGAAATTGATTTTGAGAAAACATAGAACCAGACTTTATCATTTTATAAGTTATGTTGACTATGCAGAATGAGATAATAATGTCAGAAACTATGTATACATTACATCCATAGGCAAATACATACATACATACATATTTTTAATTGAAAAAAGTAAATTTTTCAATTACACCATGGTCCCCAACCTCTTTATATTGATTCTTTATACTAGCTTAAATATTATTTACTGGATTGCTTACTTCACATCTGGAATATGTACAAAACTGTTTCAGAGTCAATGATTGAGTAAATCCCCCATTTTTTTAATTTTAAGTTCAGGGGTACATGTGCAGGTTTGTTATATAGGTAAACGTGTCTTGGGGGTTTGTTGTACAGATTATTTCATCACCCTGGTATTAAGCCTCGTACCCATTAGTTACTTTTCCTGATCCCACTTCTTTTTAAAGAGAAAACCAAAAGGTTGTATAGAGATTCTTATCAATTACTCTTGACATTTTTAATAGAAAAAAATGGTAAAAAAACATCCTTAGAGCTTTATTATTGATCTGCTATGTTTTTTTCTAAGACCTTTTGAAAGAAATTATGGATCATGGTTAATTTCTGGCATGAAAAAATGGATAAAGACATTACTAGAGAAGGAAGAAACTCAACTGTGTTTAACTTCTCTTTTTCTCTTTCGGTGTCTATGACGTGCTGATAGTACTCTGGTCTAGTGTCTCAAATGAATATATGTTGAAGAAAGATTTATTTCTGGTGGATGCTAAATTTTTAAAAAAGAATTACTTCTCCTGAGGCTTTCCTGAACAAACTCTGGGACCAAGATTATTGCTCTCTTAGGGAATATACTCTTCTGTAATTTGACTGCGCAGTCAGAAGAAATGATTTTATTTTGGGGGCTGCCACCCTCCCTAGAGAGCTGTATCTAAGCCAAGAGATAGTGATAGTGATAAGAGGTTGTTTTCAAAGTGCTAAAAAAGCCTCTTCATTAGCAACATTTAAACTTAGCCTTTTAAGATAGCAAACTGAGCATACATATTTAGCATCCCCTTATTCTCAAACCACATTGAAGTGACAGTGAAGATTAAATGAATTTTTAAAATTAAAGAATAAGTTTGTAATAGACTAAAAGTAGCGAGAGGGACTATTAGCACCCCAGTGAATTTTGGCATTTCTAGATGACAGCATACAGGAGGGAATTGTGTTGATAAAGAAGGAGTCCTTGAGCCTACATCCCTGATCTGGAAAAGTCTGAAATGGAAGTAGAAGCTATTCTCTGCCTAGTGGAAAGGGTCCAGGCTAGCTAGGGGTGAGCTGGTACAGAGAACAGAGTAGACAGACAGCAGGTAAATTAATTAAGAACTCTGGAACAGCTGTCCTGGTTGCCCTCCTCTTCCCTTCCCTATTCCTCCTTCATATAAAGCATGATTTCCAAGGCTAAACCTAGAAGACTACTGTCTCCAAAATTTCAGAGTTTACTAGGGGAAAACTTGGGTTCCTAAGGCAGAAATTGACAACACTGAATAAAACCTTATTTTGCAAGATGAGGATAGCCTTGCTACTTTCTCCCAGCCTATGCTCCCCCTCTAGAGGATACAGTCAGTCCTCCGTACAGGACAGAAGCTTGTTCAAAAATAAAACTATTAAAGTACTGAATAAACTACACTTGTATACAGTTAAGTATACAAGTCAATCTAGTCTTTCATTCGTGTAAGTAGGCAATCAAGGTTCACCAGACATTTGAAGTAAACTGCACAAAACAGAAGATCCAAAATGAACACATAAATAAATGATGCAAGAGGAAGAAAGTATGATTCATGGAACAGAGGGACCTTTTTAAACATCTTAATTAGGATCATAAAGAAAATATGATATACATAAAACAAGAATACTATATGTCACCTTGAAAAAGAGTTGATGGTTATAAAAGATATGATTGGAGAACTTATTTTTAAAAAGTGTAGTGAGAGGTTGAAGTCATAGAAATATTCCAAAACTTAGATAAAATAAAAAATAGAAGATATATGCTTAACGAACATGGAGAATGGATTTAAGATATTCAGCACGGGACTAATTCCAGAGAAAACACAGGAATGGAGTAACGAATAACGTTACGTTGGAATACTCCAATGTTATGAATGAGCCTTCATGTTGAAAAAATTAATGCATACCAACACAATGAATGAAAAACAATTCTAGACAGTCTAATAAAATCTGGATATAGAAAAAATGCCAAATCCCCTAAGAGATGTAACAGGTTAACTCAAAAGTAGCAAAAATTATATTGGCTTCAAATGTCTCTGGCAGCAACCATATATTAAAAGACGATGAAAAAATTAATGTACCTTTAACTTTCTGGGGATATATGAATTTGAACTTAGACTTCTATGACTAGCCAAATGTTATTCAAGTGTTGGGACAATTTTAAGGCTCAAAATAATGTTATACTTACTCCTTTCATGAAAATTACCTAAAGATGTTTTATTGCAAATGAAAAGAGGACACAAAAAATAGAAACCTAGGATCCAAGAAAGGGTAGAATAAGCCCAGGTGAGCAAGGAGAAGATATCCCAGGATGGAGCTTGCAGCAGACCTAGAAAGGAATCAGCTAAACTTAGAATAAGAAGCAGAGGCTAGGCGCGTGGCTCATGCCTGTAATCCCAGCACTTTGGGACGCCGAGGCAGGAGGATTGCCTGAAGTCAGGAGTTCAAGACCAGCCTGGTCAACATGGTGAAACTCCGTCTCTTCTAAAAATACGAAAATTAGCTGGGCGTGGTGGCGGGCGCTTGTAATCCCAGCTACTTGGGAGGCTGAGGCAGGAGAATCGCTTGAACCTGGGAGGCAGAGGTTGCGGTGAGCCGAGATCCGGCCACAGCACTTCAGCCTGGGCAACAGAGGGAGACTCTGTCTTTAAAAAAAAAAAAAAAAAAAAAAAGCAGAAGCAGAAGAGGGCTCCAGGAGGCCTCTTCAAGAAGTATGGAAGTACATTTCAATAAAAATACTGACATGGTGAATAAGTTTATACTTCTCCTAACAAGCAAAAAAAAAAATTAAATATTCCAGAAAAAAAAACTATAAATATGAAGCATTAAATGTGTCGTGATTTTAAACAATTGGTAGAATGCATCAGAAGGAAGTCCATTTGACTGTAATGCTAGAACAGCCTCCATAAAGTGGCACATTTTTAGTGAAGTGCAGTGACTTTTTTTTACTTGATTCTACAATAATTAACATATAATTATTGTATGGTAAGTATTCTCATTGTTCCACTTTTTACAACCAATTATAGACAAGATATTGAGGAATTAATGTAAAATGGTCATTATTGCCCCAATTCTTTGCCCCTCCCTATATTCTTACTCTTGTTTTATGACATTTAAATCCTCCTATAAGGAGAAATATATTTTTCTCACCCCTTAACTTTGGGTTTGGAGATATGGCTTGGTTTGGCCATTGACACGAAATGACAATAAGTTTCTTATGAGCCTAGGCTTTGCATGTTTCATTTTCTTTTCGGAACTTCTTCCATCATCACAGCAAAGGAGCAAAAGATAGCTGTTGTACCCTCAGCTTGGATCTCTGAATGATCACACAGGGAGCTGACTTCAGCCCAAACCTCAGCAAGGAACCAAGCCCAGCAGACCTTTATCTCAAAGTAGAGCTTAGTGTAGCCCACTCTAGATCTCTTGACACCACTCCCCAGCAACACTCAGATGTCTGAGAAATAAATACATGAGTATCGTATGCCATGGAGGTTTTGTGATTGTTATATCAATTAACTGTAGCTGTAGTTCACTGGAACATGACTACAGAACAGAATATGTTGTAAAATGTAAATCAAATTCTGATGTTAAAAATAATAACAAGGCCGGGTGCGGTGGCTCACTCCTGTAATCGCAGCACTTTGGGAGGCCGAGGTGGGTGGACCTCCTGAGGTCAGGAGCTCGAGACCAGCCTGACCAATATGGTGAAATCCCATCTCTACTAAAAATACAAAAATTAGCTGGGCATGGTGGCAGATGCCTGTAGTCCCAGCTACTCAGGAGGCTGAGACAGGAGAATTGCTTGAACCTGGGAGGTCAGGAGTTCGAGACCAGCCTGAGGTCAGGAGTTCAAGACCAGCCTGACCAATATGGTGAAACCCCGTCTCTATTAAAAATACAAAAATTAGCCGGGCGTGGTGGGGAGGTGCCTGTAGTCCCAGCTACTCAGGAGGAGACAGGAGAATTGCTTGAACCTGGGAGGCGGAGGTTGCAATGAGCCGAGGTCGTGCCACTGCACTCCAGCCTGGGTGACAGCATGAGACTCCATCTCAAAAAAATAATAATAATAAAAGAATAATAACAATAGGACTTTAAAGCCAAGAAAGAGATATGAAGGGTGTTGTAGCAGCCTTAATGGCTAAAACTGATGAACAAGTAGTAGGTTTAAATACATTATTTAACAAAATTCTATAGGGAGTATAAAGTAAGAGGTAGTTTTGAGGGGTTATTTTCCCGTTTGTATAATGAGAAATGTTAGCTATTGGTAATGAACAGAATAAAATAAAAGCCATGGGCTAAATAATTGTACACTCACAGAAATATATGGCTGATAGATAATAATAAGGTTCCAGTTGTGCTTATCTGTACAAAATTACAGTAACCTCTGTATTTTCATAACATATGAATTTAGTATAGTATATTAGTATCTATAGTGTTCTAAAGATTTCAAAAATATGTATTTTTATATTCAATAAAATAAATTCATCAATATATCTTAGTCTTTTTTCTACCTCTGCATGTCTTTACAAAAATATTTAAAATATTGCAGTACCTCAAGGATGGATTATAGTTTGGGAAGATATTAATATCACCTCTAAAGATAACTCTGTAGCTTATTTAATCAGAACTACATAAGCCCTCCTTTATTCTCTGAAACATGGCAGAAGGAGATTTAATGAGTGTAGGGAAGTAAGATGCTGCATAAACTCAAATCTTTATACTAAGGGCCAAATTAAACAACCAAATTAAGCAGACGATGTTACACTTACTATTTACTGACATTTAGTCCAGTTCACAAGTCATTGGATTTTATTAAAAGGAACTAAACATTTTTTCTGCATTAATCTTATAATAGCATAACAGAGCAATGCAGTTTCTAATAAGACCCATTCCTCTCTGACAGAATAGGACCATTTATCTAAGCACTTGTTATGGAGATAGCCCATTATTTTAATCAGGTTCATTGGATACCATGGAAATTGTTGTCTTGAAGGCTTCCTTTTTCAATGTAAAATTATGCAGTATGTAATTAATGGAATTGAAATTTCCATCTTAATGTATATTAAAAGAAATTAATAATGAAAATCTCCTTTAAACATACATTTTTATAAGTTTTTAAAGTTATATCCTTCACAGAAGCAAAGAGAGGGCTGGGAGCAGTGGCTCACGCCTGTAATCCCAGCACTTTAAGAGGCTGAGGCGGGTGGATCACGAGGTCAAGAGTTTAAGACCAGCCTGGCCAACATGGTGAAACCCCGCCTCTACTAAGAATACAAAAATTAGCTGGGCATGGTGGCTCATGCTTGTAATCCCAGCTACTCTGGAGGCTGAGGCAGGAGAATTGCTTGAACCGGGACCCAGGAGGCGGAGGTTGCAGTGAGCCTAGATCGTGCCACTGCTCTCCTGCGTGGGCTACAGATCTAGAGTCCATCTCAAAAAAAAGAAAAAAAAAAAAAAGAAGCAGCAAAGAGAACTAGAAAATTATTATTATTTCATAGTTCCTGTATGAAAATTACAATCTCTTGAATAGATCATAGGAGTACAGAAAACATACACATCAATGTACTTCATGAACTTCCATCAGAAAATTTTTCTGGAAAAGAACAGTTAGGGAAGGTATAGCTAACCCCCGTTATAGTTTTATATGCTTCAGATTTCTGATAGTCAATGATAACAAAAACAAATTCAACCTGAAACCAAAAATATAAGAGCAATAGAAAATCTTGCAATGATACTAATTTTTTCCAGTTACATTAATTTTTCCCCATTCATCTTTATTTAAAGCTTCTTGCAAAGACTTTCTTGAGTGGTGGAAACAACCTGCAAAGTAGGAAGTAAACTACCTTAAAAATCAGTATTTTTCTCATCTTTATGAATACAGCTCCTCCTATTACTATGTTTTATTAAACTACTCAGTCTCTCCCATAAGACCTGCCTCTTTTCATTTGGACTGCATGGTTCTCACATTGAAATAAAAGTATATTGTACAAAAACCTTTCTTTTGTGAATTTGAGAAGGCTAATGTTCCTCATTAGTTCTGTGGGCCTTTTATTGTCATGGAGTGTCGGGGTGTGTGTGTGTGTGTGTGTGTGTGTGTGTGTATGTGCGTGTGTGTGTATGCAGTTCTTAGTTTACAGACAAAAAATATGTGGATTATAAAAATCACTTTTTGAAGGTTTTATTGGAGTATAATTAGCGCAGAATAAAATACACAAATTTAAAATGTACAATATGATATGTTTTGACACATATATGAACCTGTGAATCCATCATCTTACTCAAGATACTAAACATTTGCATCACATCACCCTCAGAAGTTTCTTCCCCACTGTAATCCCTCCTTCCTGCCCCTTCAACTTCATCCCAATCACTGATTTACTTTCTGTGATGATAGATTAGTTGCATTTCTAGAAATTTGTATAAATAAAATAGACACTGTATATTATTTTTGCCTGATTTATTTCACTCAGCATAACTATTTTGAGATCAGGTTGTCTCAGGTTTGGGGTTATTACTATAGTAATAAAGCTGCTATGAACATCCATACAAGTCTTTGTGTGGACATACACTCTCATTTGTCTTGGATAAATATGTAGGAGTAGAATGGCTGAATCATATGGTAGACATGTGTTTAAGTATTTGAAAAACTGTCACATGGTTTTCCAAATGGATTGCATTATTTTATATCAGAACAGCAGTGTATGAGAGTTCAATTCCTCCACATCCTCACCAACACCATCTTTTTAATTTTAGCTGTTGTAATCGTTGGGTAGTGACATCTTATTCTGCTTTTAATTTATATACTCTAATGACAAATGAGGTTGAACATCTTTGTATATGTTTATTTACCACTCTTATGTATATTCTTTTAGGAACTGTCAGTTCAAATATTTTTCCCACTTTTTATTGAATTATTTGATTTCTTGTTGAGTTATGAGAGTTGTTTATATGTTGTATATACAAGTTCTTTATCATATTTTTGATTTGCAAATATGTTCTCCCAATCTGTGGTTTGTCTTTTAATTCTCTTAAAATTGACATTGGGGAGCAGGAGTTTATGGATTTGATATAGAAAAAATAGTTTTAAGTTTCACTTTGTAATCTACAATCTATTTTGAGTGATTTCTTATGTAGTTCTAAGTGTATTTTACATATATTCAATTATTTCAGCATCATTTTTTGAAAAGACTACATTTATCTACAGAATAATTTTGATGTCTTTTGTAATAACGATGTGCCTTTTTGTAGCTTTCTTCGTGTTTCTTACTCTTGGGATTTATTGAGCTGCTTAGATCTGTGAGTATAGTTTTCATCATATTTGGAAAATTTGGGCTATAATCTATTCAAATATTTTATACTTTCCATTTTCAAGGACTCCAATCACATCTATTTTAGACTAACTATATGTGTTCCACTGATCACTGATGCCCAGATTTTTTTCTGTATATTTTATTTTGTATATTTTCAATTGGTATGTCTTAAAACGTCTAAAATTTTTTTTTATTTTTGCATGTCTAATTTGCTATTATTCCTTTCTGGCATATTTTTCATCTCACACATTGTTAGTTTCATCTCTGGAAGTTCAATTAGGCTTTCTTTTTTCACATCTCTATTTAATATTTTCAATATATGGAATACAGTTTTAATAACTGTTTTAATTACTTCTCTGCTAATTTTAATATATACTGTCTTTTCAACTATATCTTTTTTGTTTCTTGAGTGTTAATCTTGATTGGATTCCAGACATGAATTTTATCTTGCTGAGTGCTCAGTACTTTGTAGTCCTATATATTCTCTTGAGCTTAGTTTTCTTATATAGTTAGGTTATTTGGAAACAGTTTGATCCTTCTAGGTCTTGCTTATAAGATTCGTTAGGTGGGACCAATAATTTATTTAATCCAGGTTTAATTATCCCCCACTACTAAGACAAAACCATTCTGGGTCCTCTGCCCAATGCCCCATGAAACAGTTTGCTTTCCAGTCTTAGTGGTGGGAATTGGCAGTTCTCTTGGCCTAGTGTGGGCTCCAAGTATTGCTCCCTCTGGTCTATTCAGATGACTCTTTCCCCAGGAGTTTGCTCCCCTGTGAATGCTAATCTACCCTCTGCTGAGTACTTTAGAGAGCACGGCAGTGTTCAGGACTGCAGATCTCTGTGGTGAACTGTCTCTGTGTAGTTCTCTCCTGTTGGGTATATTCTGTTCTACAAACACTAGCCTCCGTCGACTCTCCAGACTCCCAGCTCCCTCTCTTTCACTAGAGTTCACCAGGCTCTGCCTGGATTCTCCCTCCCTATGCCATGGCCCAAGAGGGAGAGTCCTTTGTGTCTTAATGTTCAGTATGTTCAACACTGTTGTCTCACGTATTTTGTCTGAGGTTTTTTTTTTTTTTTTTTTGTCGTTTTTGTTGTTTTTTAAAACAAGAGGGTCTGCCTGAAAATTCTGGTCCCTTTTACTATGTCTAGGCCAGAAGCAGAGTTCTCATGAATCCCAAAATTATCACTTTTAATGAAGAAAATATGCTGATTTGGCATACTTACCAATAAATATGGGATAAAAATATATAAAAAGTAATGGCTTGGAGACAGCATTTTTAGCACTGAGTAGTGAGTTTGTTGCTTGAAGCAGATTCTTCCATGGTGGCCTTGAGTGTAACAGATGTTTTGTTGCCTCTAGCTCTGCCAGGAACCCACAAAATATCCTATAATTTTGTAGATGAGATTCTGGAATGAGGGAAATCTAGCCACCCAGCTCTTTCACCTTGATGAGGACTGAAACTCCTAAGAATTTAAAAAAGGAGTCTTTTCTGTATTTACCAACCCCAATTTAAGTCTTTAAGCTACAGATGTCAGTGATCTATCAGCCAAAATTGATAAAGAGTTGGTGTGTTAGTTTAAAAAATAGTAAATGTCACCATTTTGGAAAGAAGTATATTAAGAGTATTTGTTGAATTATCCCATTCAGTGTATTAAAGTTTCCACATGCTTTGCAATTTTTTGGATAAATGCTGCCTTTCATTCCTCTCCAAGACAGGGCTACTCTTCTGTAGAATATTTATAAAAATTCTACCCATTTATTTACTCTGATGATAAACCCAAATGTAGAAGTATGTGTGTACAGAAAGCCTCATCAGAAATTCACCTATATTTTCCTCCATGGCCATAACCAAGAAACACTCTATCAAACAATATGAATATGGTTTAACTCATATAATAATAAGGACAGTTATATTTGCAGTCTTTAAAGTTTACAAGATATTTTTCTCATAATTTACCTCATTGAATCCTTACAGTAGCTTTAGAAGTATAATATAATCCTTACAATAGCTTTAGAAGTATAAGATAATTTAGAAATCTCATTTAGGACATCATTTTTGTTTAATTATGCCCATAATATAAAATTTCAAAGATATCAGAATATAGAAGCAGGAAGTATTCTTAATTTTATTATCTGAGTCTACATGTATCTGTGTATAATAGTTGATTTATTAGGTTCCTTTTAAGAAATTAATTCAAGGGTTAGGCAAAATTATCTTTCTGTATAACAAAATTTAACTGTGTATCAGTGCCTGTTATTGAAATGTAACATTACTTACAAGCTTTCAGTGGTTAGGCATTTTTAGTGTGAGGTGTTTTTTTTTTTAAGTTAAGGTCATTGAAGAAAAAAAATGTAATTGAACTTGGTGAACTGAAGGTTTTATTTCATTCCCTTAAAAGCCCCACTTGGTAAAAACGTATCTTAAAAAGATTTATTGGTGTTAAGCCTTTCCACTCTCCACTTCCACATAAAGTGAAATAGTGGTTACCTGCAAGTTTCATATAGTTTGTATCTTCAAAAGTGGTATTAATTGGTGATAAGAGTGCAAATTGGCATAACCACCTTAAAATCAGTTGGGTATTATCTATTAAAGTTAAATATATGCATTATTATGACTCCTCCATTTCACTCCTAAGTGTACCCAGAAAAAAAAATTCAACATACTTGTTTGTCAAGAGATATGTACATGCATGTTCCCTGATGCTTTTATTTCCAACACCACTACTAATGCCATTAGCCATAGAAAGAAAAAAGCATATGGTACATTTTATGGTAAAATACTCTAGAGCAATTTCTCTACTCTGCAGTGAAAATGAACTCACTGCAGTCACCTGCAACATTTTGAAAGATGCCACAAACAGAAGATCACATACAGAATTTTTTTTTTTACTATAAAGTTTAGATACAGGCAAAAATAAACTCTTTGGGAATAAATATTTAGGAGACGAAATTATAAACTATACAAAGAGCAAGTCTGTGACTTCCATACCAAGCAGGGGATCTGTCACCTTTATGTGGGTGTAGGGGAGGGTTTGAATGAATGTGGCACATGAAGGCTTTGGACTGCTGGCAGGATTCTGGTGTTTGCCCTTGGTGGTTGTTATATGGGTTGTCTCTTTATAATAATTCTTGTAACTTTACTGTTTTGTGTCCTTTTAAGTATATATGCTATTTTTCAAACATTTTTACATAAGGTGAATTGTGACCGAGAAAAAAAATGACAAAATTTTAATTCTATAGGTATGAAATATATCAATGCCCTCTAAAAAGGAAATTGTGTAACAAATGTAACTCCTTTCATCTGAGTGTAAAGTTAAAAGATATGTATAAAAGACTGTAGGAGGCAAGGAAATTCATTTTTACATAAGCAAGTGGTTGTGGATTTCAGGAATAAAAAGGGAACAAATGCCCATTAAACCCAAGCCACTTAGGATTTTGAGGAAATTACTAAGACGAATAAAGGGATTGGGGAAAAGTGTATTCCAAACTAACATTTTAGGACTGGAGTCTTTAACCTAGAGGAGAAATGCCAATATTAGGTTATTATCAACGTTTTGAGAACAAGGACTATGTGTTATCCTATATCTGTCCTTCTTAGCACATAAAATAATACCTTGAAGGCTGGTAAGAAGAGGTGATGAAGTGGGAGTACTAATATTCCCTAGTGATGGTGAAACATATGGGTGATTAGCATAGATTCTGGAGACAAATTAAATTATCTGGGCTTTAATCTCAGTTTGGCCACCTGTGTGACTCTGGGCAACTTATTTACACTTTCAGTTTATTGATTTCCTCATCTGTAAAACAGGCATAATAATAATAACATTTAGCTTGTAGACTGTGTTAATACATATAAAAGGCTTAGAACAGTGTTTGGTACATAATAAGTAATCTACAAGTGGAAGGATGTGCTAATTGTTATCCATTAACTGCCATCCTGTAGTGCTGTTTGGCTATACTTGTATTATTAAACCTTATGTAGAGGTAAACTGTAAAATTATAAACAGAATGCAAGCAACAA
Organism: Homo sapiens; assembly: GCF_000001405.40. Classification (NCBI taxonomy): domain Eukaryota; kingdom Metazoa; phylum Chordata; class Mammalia; order Primates; family Hominidae; genus Homo; species Homo sapiens. The sequence continues at coordinate 84,146,031 of NC_000005.10, read as the reverse complement.
ATTTTAATTTCAGCAAAAGCCTAAGGAAGATTCTTGGTCCATAATGATTTTCCACTGTAGGTAGTTTTTGTTAGGGTTTGCTGAATATACAAAATGTAAAGCATGACCATATGCTGAAAATTAAAATGCTCATAGGAAAGGGAAGAAAAAATAGGGAGAAATCACATCCAATTGACAATTCAGGTAGGGTTTCTAGATAAATGTGCCCAGGTAAATTTGAATTTCAGATAAACAAAGATTTTCTTATAAATATGTCTCAAATATTTGCATGGACACTCTCTGTTTTTATTTACCAAATCTAGCAACCGTAAATATTAGGAAGTCTATATACATTTCGAACCAAGCTAAGTATTTAAACATACCAAACGTGATTATAGCCATCCTACTACCTAGTCTGAGTGATATGGACTCAACATAAATTTCCCTTCTCACTTTTTGAATTATTTTTCCAAAATGATACCAGTAATGAAATTTTAGAGAATGTGAATGAGCTTCTAAAATGCAGATCTATTCAATCCCATGTCCCCTTCCACCCTTCTTGAGTTCTCTATTAACTCTCCAGTATCCAAGGACTAAAGTTCAAACTCCTTAAGTTGATTGATACGGCCATAAAAATCTGGTCCCAGACTACATGGTCGCCATTATGCAGAGTATCCCCTCGCACAGTCCCTGTGCATGCTTCAGAAATTCAAAGTGCTCAGCTCTCTCTGAAAATATGTTCTTTGTGTTTCTTCCTAATTTAATACAGCTATAAAAACTCCTGCTCATCCTTTAAGCACCAAATGTATTACCTCCTGCAAGCAATCTTCCATATCTCCTTTAGGCAAAACTACTGCTTTTTCTATAATCTTAGTACATTTTGTACATAATGCTCTAAAGCACATATTTCACCATATTGTATTATAATTGTCTGTCTCCTGTGTAGAAGAATAGAAAATGAATGATCTCTTAGAACAGGAGCTGCTTCTATTTACAGATATATCCAATTATGTATTTTAATGCCTGATTCATGGAAAGTGCTTCTCAGAATTCTAATGAATGAATGAGTGAACAAATGGTTAAAGTCAAGCTATGTGAATCATAGCTGAGCTTCTAATACAAATCCTATCTCACCTAAGCCAGTTTGGGGTTTCTGATAACTCACTATAGGAAAAACTCCAAAATGGTTGATTATTAAGATTGACTGCTAAAACCAGAGAGAGAACTAATTTGACATGCAGCTGAAAGAATAGAGTAGTTAATTTTAGATAAAACATTAAAATATGCAATTGTATAAATAATAATAAAAATAGGAAACCAGGAAATATATACCTTACACACTTGGAGAAAAGAACTATGGGACAATGAGGAGTCACTCTTAGATCTGCAGACAACTGATACCAGGAAAAATGAAATACACATTAATTTAGAAAAATAACTTTACAGAGTCAACTATTTATAACTCCATGTAATTCAAAAGCACTTTTCCCTAGTCAGCTAGACTCCTTCTCTAAAACTCAACATCCCCTAGTCTGCCAGACCAATTTAGTTTTGATATTTGGAGTTCCTTTGAGAGTCTGTGCATTTTCCTGTTATAGCCCTTGTTACCTTACACTGTAACTGATTGTTTCCTTGTCTATCTACTCTACTGTAAGAGCTTCAGAAACATTACAGATTGTGACATATTAATTGTTGCATTCTTAGTACCTAGTGTAGAACTAAGGATGGATGGATGCATGGAAAGAAGGGAGGAAGGGAGGAAGGAAGGAAGGAAGGAAGGAAAGGAGGAAGGGTGGGAGGGAGGAAGGGAGGCAAGGAAAGAAGGAAGGGTGGATGGATGGATGTGCTTCATAAGCAGAGGTTCTGTTCAGTGTTTGCAAACATTGGCTATGCTTCAGAGTCACTGGAATGCCTTTTAAAAAGTATATTACTCCCTTTGTCTCTCCCAAGACCATTTAAGTCACAATCTCTAAGTGCATGACTTGTGCATTGATATGCTTTAAGAGCTCCAACTTTTAAATGAAGCATTGCTCTAATTTCATTTTTCCTTAATAGAATCCCATTAGAAATAGGCTGGAGCACCTGCCCCAAGCAAGGGACTCACTGGTACAGTACATACATGATGATCCCAAGGTTACTAATATTCCCGGTTCTTTCTTACCAATTAACAAATATTTATTGCAGGGCCAGTGACTATGCTACATGCCACTGAGGTAACATCCCTTGTTGTGGTTTGCTCTTTTGTGAAAATGTTTACTGAAAGAGGCATCTGTTCTTACTGGCCTCTGCATATATATATATATTTAAAGTCATCAAATATTTGAGTTATAGAGACATAACACCCTCTTGATAACCCCTCCTCTACCTCCCCTCATTTTGGCTTTTATATCCCTTGGAATAGCTGTCTTGTCATACTGGCCAAATATCTGTGTAAATGCAAATAAAACTTTATTGGAATAATTAATATAAACAACCCAGATAATTGGGATGAATATTGCCTGCGTACTAGTATCAAAGGCATTTGCATCTAAATAAAGATCTTAAAATAAATACTAGGATGTCAGGATAGAGATGGACAGAGAATATGATCTTTATTAGATGGAGACAATGGATAAATATCTCTTGGATTTGGGGCTTTTGTTATGCTACTGTTCTTGTAAGTGAAGGTTATCAATAAATTATTATAAAAGGTTTGTGTGTGATACGTTCTGACTGAATAATGCTGATTTTAATTAGCCACTTTAAAATGAATTACTAGTAATATAGCAGAAAGCCACATCAAAAGGGAGTTCAAGAACAGAAGATTCAAATATATACTAAACTGGTCACAGAAGTGACTGGGAAATAAATTATCTAGATAATTCTGATTGTGACATAATTAAGTTCAGCATCTGAGTGGGAGAATCAAATTCCTAGAAATTCATCTTAAATAGAAATTCAATCTTTAAAGAGAAATTGAAAGATCATAGGCTTTAAATAAGGAAAAATATAAAAGGTCAAACTTTAAAAGGCAATCACTCATGGGAGGTCTGGAGAATATGTAATAGCTAATGGGGAGCCCAGGGAAGATGTGTTGTTAAGGATCAAAAAATAGCAGGCTCTGAAAAATAAGGTCTTGCCAAGCAATTAGCAGTCAATAACAATATTGCCGGAGGAAAGATAGCCCAAGGGAAAGACATAAAGAAGTTGAGAAATTTGTCTTCGCAAAAGAAAAAAAAGCTTGGGGGGGGGGGCACCGTCTATCATTGTCTCCTTTTAATATATCCAAAAAAGTATGTTCAGCCCAAGAACCATGTTCCTTCTTGATGTTCTTGGGGGCCTCAATGTACTTACTTATGAAGAGGAGATAGATTTATGGTTGAAATACATTGTCTTTGTCTTCTCTAGGAGGAGGTTAGATAGATATCTATCCCCAGAAGGATTAGATGTCCTGGTCCAAATGGTGGTCAGTATTCAAAATATCTAAGCCATGTTGGTGAATTAAATGTAGCTAAACTACTGAGGACAGATGGCATTTTCCTGAGGAGTTCTGAGAGAACTCAAGGATGAACTGGGATAATGATGTCCCAGAAGTGAAAACTGCTACCATTCCTACTCTGCAGATTGCAAAGGTGAGCCAGTTGAAAACAAACTAATTAATTACTTACTAATTAGTTTTAAAAGTCTCCAGAGATGGAGATTCCTGGGAATTAGACTCAAGAATTCTCTGTTTCATCTCTGGCCAACTAGCGGAATCTGTAATGAAGAATGAGATTATTGAATTTTTCAATATAATTCTCTGAGAAGAAGCCACACAGTTTCTGTGACAAGAAGTCATGCCCAGACAATGCATTGTTTTGAAGGCACCAATAAGGAATTAACAAATATAATTTCCATTTTAAAAACTCTTTGACAGCCTACCACTCCAAAGTCAATTTCATGGGCTTTTGGCTATAATCTGTACAATAATGGTTCTGACAAAGATCCAGGACAAAGAAGACCAGGTGTAACTGAGCATTTCTCAGGATGTGGATGTGCATAAGGTGAATTGCCTAAGGGAGGAGTGCTCAATATGATAGATAGATAGATAGATAGATAGATAGATAGATAGATAGATAGATCTATGTATATATATATATATATATATGTGTATATATATATATATATGAGTAGTTTGTCAATTACTGGAGTAGGCTTCTCACAGCGAAATCTCCAGAGTGTGCATTTCTGCTAGGAAAAAACCCAAGCCAAAGAGAAGGACGATCAAACACATTTACAAATCTGTAATGTGGGTTATGTATGACATACCGATAAAGAGTCTGAGTTATGCATATAAAATCAATGAATCTGTGTAATTAGTTATAACAGAGGCAAGGAACTGGGAATACTTGTAAAGTACTTTTTGGTTCAAAGTAATTTGTGTTTCCTTTCAGAGAAATTCAACTATTTACCTTTTATTATTTTCTGTCCTCTGTCTTCCTTCTTCTCCTTCTTTCTTCTTCTTTCTTCTTCCACCAAAAAATCAAAACAAAATGTAATACATATATATCGCATATATGTAATATATTATATATAATATATATAATTATGAAATATATATTTCATAATTTCATATATATGAAATTATATATATTATATATAATTTCAGGAAACAAGGGTGAGTCATGAGTTTATACCTGGAAACTCATGTGCAGCTCTCATCACTGTGCCTCAGTGACACAAGAAGGTTGGCAGCAAAGTTTTATAACTTCAGGACTCAGCTGACTGTCTTGATTATAAAGTCATATTTTGAAGCTGTTTTATGAAGCAAGACCTTATAAATGATATTATTATTATAAATAAACTATAAATCTGACCAAATATGGAAATTTCTATTTCATATGGGGGCTACTTTATCAGTTTTTTCTTCATTAATTAAATGGTATAACCTAGTAGTATATTTGGAATGGATGTGGACTTTTTTCTGGCAATGATAATGTCTTGATCTGTGACGAAGATAGGTGTATGTTATTTATTGCAAATATGTTTAAGTTTCATTTCATTGCACTATATTCTGTGAACGTTTTTATCTAGTCTTTAATTAAACATGATTTATACAAATTGAGGTCAGTTTCCATTTAGATTGCTTGCAGTGTTAATTACAGTGCAAATAGCCTTCACTGCTGAAAGAACTCCTGCATTATACAAATACGTAAATGCTTCTGTGTAATTTGCAACTGTCTTCTAAGCTTGTGTATTACTGGGTATGTACCTATGCAGAAATGTTTTACTAACTTAGCTACTGTATTAAAAAATATGGATAACTTAAGATAACATGTATATTTTTATGAATTTAGATTTAAGTAGTTTTTGAGTTTTAAAAACATTGAAAAATGCACATTTAAACAATGAAAAGGTCATTCTATCACAAATTGAGTGTGTCTACAAAGCATTTCCATTTCAGCAAATGCATTCCAATTCATTCCACTTCATCTTAACCTCTGGGTAAAGGTGTTAACTGTTGATTTTTTAGAATCGGATGTCCTTAATTATAACTTGCTTTGCTGATGATTTATAGATGGGGCCTGATGAGCCTATAACTGGAAGGTTTAAAGGTTGATTTGTCTCAATTAGATTTACGCTCACATATTTTAATTACTACTTACGGTGTAAAGACTTGGAAGATTTAAGGAGGCAAAAAACAGCAGTGTCTTTGTATCGTTAATAGTATGTATAATAATTATTGATTGTTCTCACACTGGCTATGAGAACTTCCTTCTATTAACATTACAAATCAGCAAGAGCTGGGTTTGATTTTACTCATGATATATTTCAATCTTAAAATGAGAAAATATATAGAGCCTCTTACATGAGACTTAAAATATATGTTGTACCTATTAACATCAAATCTTTTGTGGGTTTCTGTCCCATCTTCCTTTATTCATTTCTCAAGTCCATCTCACATATGGCTTCACTAGGTTCTTCTAAAGTAGAAGGGTGAAGGAAATACCCTTTAATCCTTCTCATCCTGCTCCAAATGTTCATTGCCAAAAAAATAAAACGCAGTTGCCTCAGCCTGCACTAAGGGTTCATCATAATCTGTTCCCTATCTACATTCTCTGACATGGGATTCTAGCACTCTCCTTCATCTTCTCTGCTCCAAAATGCTTTACTCCTGTACCTAAACACACGATCATATCATGAACATTCTTCTTCAAAGTTGTGATTCATTCTGGCTCCCTGCTTGGAAATTGACTGTCATCTATATCACATCCTTATTAGTCTTAATTAAACTTTTTCTTCTTGTCTAAGATCAAATTATCTTTTGCTTATGTGGGTCCTTCAGACATGACCACTTAGTTTCCTCTCTCTAAGTATATATGAGAATAAATTTTTGCATCTAACTTTACAAAATACGGCAGTGTTTTCTCTAAGATATGAAGACATTAACCAGTTACACGTTCTCATCTAAAACAAATTGTAGTAGAGAGGATACAGGTTAAGACATATTGGGCATGTTCCAAGGTAGCCAAACATTGTTATTGTCATGCATAATTGAGTTGGCAACAATAAGTAGCATTTCATGTGGCTTACAAAATTTAATGAAAATGGTTTGTGTGTTAGTCCAATATAAATATAGTTTAATATTAAGACTAAGTGAAATTTTGATAAGATCAAAGAGAGCTGAGATTTTATTATATTTTTAAAAAGGAAAGAAATGACTTATACTCACCTTTTCTTTCCCCTCCCTCCCTCCTTCCCTCCCTCACTGCCTCCCTCCCTCCCTCCCATCCATCCTTCATTTTTGTACAGGTTCAGTATCAAATATTTAGGAGTCTATCATACTTTTTTTCCCCCGAGACAGAGTCTAGCTCTGTTGCCCAGGCTGGAGTGAAGTAGCTCAGTCTTGGCTCACTGCAACCTCAGCCTTCAGGGTTCAAGCAATTCTCTTGCCTCAGTCTCCTGAGTAGCTGGGATTATAGGCACACGCCACCACACCAGCTAATTTTTGTATTTTTAGTAGAGACAAGGTTTCACCATGTTGGCCAGGCTGGTCTTGAACTACTGGCCTTGTGATCCACCCGCCTTGGCCTGCCAAAGTGCTGGGATGACAGGTGTGAGCCACCACGCCCGGCTGAGTCTATCATACTTTACAGCACACAGATCCATCTTTTTAGAGATTAGCAGATTCTGATTTTATCCTATTATTTGAAGTTATGAGGTACTCAAATTATTTTTATTTTTTCTGAACACAGTCATGAATTATCTCTGTTCTTAAGCTATGATTGTCAACCAGAAACCAAAAGGGCTGCTTTTTGAGAGAAAGTTATTACCTAAGGAAATTTAGACCAGGCTTTCTACAGTGAACTTAGAATGAGAAGTTGACCAACTCTGCTTTCTGGAGGGGATACTAATTAGAAAAAAAAAATGTCAAAAGAAAGGGCAAAATTGAGATTTTCAAATACTTTTTTCCTTGTTTCCTTTTAGAAGTAATTTAATGATCTTCTTGCTTTAAGCAACTGTAATAGCCCAAGACTTCAGAACTATCATTTGATATGTTATAGGGTATCAGAAGGCACATTACAAATCTGGAATAAAATGTTTTAAGATTGTGCACATGACTATTTCTATTGTTTTGGTAGAAAGTTGGTCAGGAAACATTTATTGAGCCTCAGTAGTTTTCCAGATGGAGTGTGGCATTTTCAGGAATACAAGGAACAGGGCAAGATAGGAACTTCATTTGTGGAGCTCACTTTCTGACAAGGTGAAAGGGGCTAAATATAAACAGACAATTTCCAAGTCTGTAATACAGTTAAAAACAACAACAACAAACTGTTATGGAAATGAAAGCAGATAGGGAGCTCAACTGGAATAGCTCATAGGATGAGGAAGAGATGGGGAGTGGTGTGTGCTCTCCAACTACTGTACTGGCTCCCACAGAATCCAGCATGGTGCTTTGCTAAAAGGGAATGATTTGTGAATATCTGTGATTGATTGAATTAGTCATTGTTTCTTTTGTGTTCAAAGTCATATTTGTTTTCTCTGTTGTCCAAAATTAGCAAGGAAAGTAGTATAATTTGCTCGATGTTTTATGTTTCATGTGATTTTGCATCAGATGTAATAGTAGTATATCAAAGGTAAGTCCCTTTAGTCATCCTCACTTTAGAAATCCTTGAATGAGATTAGGAAGTGATCACCATTTACATTTATTATACTTTGCATGTAACGAGCTTTAGCTATTAACTCTAATTTGCTTCTCATCGTATTCATCAAAGACGAACTATTTAGAAACTAAAACATCTCTGTCAGTTAGAATTGTAATGAATTAAGATGAAATGAGACAGTGTTAATTGGCAGTTGTTGCTGCAGGGGAGGTTTCTCGATCTTGTAAGTGAAACCAATTCATCTTTCTATCAGGGTTAATTTGTTTGATTTAATTCTAAGGATACACTGAATATTTCCCCAGACTACTCATATTTATTTTCAGAATGGGAGAGTGGTTTAGTTCCATTGGCCTTTCGTCTGTATTCTGAATTTTATTTGAAATTGATTAAATATAATGGTTATTAAATTGTTGGTTTTAAGCAGCATTTGTATTACTGACTAAACACACACATGCCTACACACACACAAAGGAATAGCATTACTAAGACATTTGTATTTCAAATGTTAAAACTTTCCAATATCTAATCATTTTTTACCAATAATTCTCTTCCTCTGTCCTTTCTGTTTTTCTTAGACATAAATGAATGCGAAGTTGAGCCTTGCAAAAATGGTGGAATATGTACAGATCTTGTTGCTAACTATTCCTGTGAGTGCCCAGGCGAATTTATGGGAAGAAATTGTCAATACAGTAAGTATTCACGTGTGTGTATGTGTGTGTGTGTGTGTGTGTGTGTGTGTGTGTGTATGTATACACACACACATATATGTATGCATATATATTTTTATGTACATCATCTAAATTTATTTTGAAATCTGGGCCAAAATCAATATTATTTGCCTTCAGAGTGCATAATCCATTGAAATGGCACTTTTCATATTTGTGGTATGTTATTAATGCACACATATTCTCTAGGGTGTCTCATTTAGTGCACAATATGCATAGAAATGGTATCTTGTGACCTGAAAAGAATGATAACATTTCCTCAGATACTCAAGTTCCACGAATCCCATTTTGGTTTATGATTATGCATATGACTGAAATTTCTACCACCAAAGTGACACTTTGGTTCTGAGAGTAAATTCAGGGCATTGAAACCAGATAGACAGGGCACACTGGCTCATGCCTGTAATCCCAGCACTTTTAGAGGCCTCAGCAAGAGGAGCCCAGGAGCTCAAGACCATCCTGGGCAACACAGTGAGAACCCATCTCTAAAAGAAACGAAATAAAAATAAAATAAATCAGTTAGCCTCTGTTATAAATAAAACGTAAAAATAAAGGAGGATGCATTTGGGCCGTCCCACACGCTAGCAAGAATGTTGCACACTATTTATTTGTCTTATTGGAAGCTGAAGAAAGTAGGGTCTTGAAATGATGCATCAAATGACAGGGCAGTTATTTGCCTTAAGTGTTTACAAAGAGGCAGAAAGCACCACTTACCTAAAAAAGAAAAAAAAAGCTGGGAAAAAAGTAGTAACAGGACTAAAGTCAATGGGATGGGGCCTAAAATGGGCCCAAACACAGGTTAGTAATACTAGTGCTATAGCCTTATAATTGTTGGACAATTAGAGGAAAGTTCATACTGCTACTGCTTCGATGTATATCGTATGATCTGAGCACCACAACAACATTATGCAAATTCCAAATGTAGATGCAGATGAGACTTCAGATGCACAAACTGAGACACACCTGATGTTGTTTGCCCAAGCTTTCACAGCTATTTAGTGAGAGAAGCAGTGCTACAGGTTTCTGATTCCCCACTCAGTGTATTTTCCTCAAGACTGAGATACCTGTTTAAATAGAGAGGTATAATATAAACATGAATATACATGACACGTCCATTCTTTATCACAGACACAGACACATACCACATAGTTCTTTCTCTTCAGCCATAGTAAGAAATGTATTTCTCATTTTCTTTTTCTTTCTTTCTCTTTGGCCATGGTATTTATAAAATAAAATAGGAAATATTGTTGAATGATATATAAGTATATATAAATAAAATAATGATATAAAATGGGATGCTCATTACTGTAGTCCTGACAAACCACACAAAATAATTAAACTCTGAATATCATAGAGAAATCTTGAATTGGGAAAAAAAAAACTTTCTAAGCTTAAAGTAATTGAGGAAGGACATTGAGCATGAGTTGATGAAGAAAGGTGCAGGGCACAGAAGGATGGAAAGGGAAGGCTGAGTAAGTAGGTTGACCATACAGCCAACTAGACCAATAGTCATCCAACCAACTAACCTAGAAACCTTCCCGTGAAGCATTTAACTAATCACCCACTAAGTTAACTCAAGCTCAGGTTCAGCTTCTCTTTGGCCTGTCCCAGGCACAGCACTTGCATCCATTTCTGTTTCATGGAATTTGAAGATGGCTGCTCAGTCAACACTGGAAGTTGTGCTAAAAAGCACCTCCAAGATGTCTGTCAGTGAACATCTTATTAATATTATGATGAACAAAAAAACTGATGTCAGTGACTATTTCACCTTCATTCAGCAAAAATAGAGAATTTGTACCTGAATAGAGAACCTTCCAGGAAGGAACTTCGGCATAGATTAAAACAATACCTGGATTAGAGCATGTCTAGGCAGGGTAAGACCACCTCTGACCCATAGGAGGCCTGACTAGGGGAACAATTGCGGGGGAGAAGCCTTCCCATTTTCCTAAAAGGAGGATTGAATGGGGGACATATCATAAGAACCCTGCCTAGGAATGAGTGTCACTCTGCAGTGATGAATGAGTCTAAGAAGTGGCACATGAGGGTGTGGATATCCTAGAAGAGGAGACCTAGAATGTGGAGCTCTAGGGCATGGAGGAATAGGGAAACAGGTCGAGTGGATAGGCTGGGGATGAAGGGTTTATGAGACAGACAGTAAGGCTATGAAAGAGGGAGAGAGGCCCCTGCCCTGTCATTAGTTTGTGCCTAGTGTCTTCCAACCAGTTTTTCATGTTGTGTTTAATGAAAACCTTTGCTTTTCTGTGAATTAACTTTATATTGATACAACATTTATATTTAAATTCAGACATCTCTTTGAAGATGCATGTGATAGTGGCATGCCTCCCTTCAACTGTCATATGATCTGGCATTCTAGCATTTCCTGTATTCTCCGTGTGCTGACAAAGAGATCAGAAAGAGTCACCTAGAGAGTTCCCTAAAATATTTTCCTATTGGGGTGTTTGCTTTTATTTTATTAAATTTTAAGGACATATAACAAATTAAGGATCTTTATTCTGTCTATTGTCTAGGTTTCTTAGGATATGGTTCTACTTTTTTCTGTAGTCTCTTAAGAGATTTTAGAAAATCTAGAGTAAAAAGGGGTAATGATTTAGTTTTGCACATGGAGAACTTAGAGAATTTGCTTACTGTGGGGTACATATAAGCACCTACAGGTTACAGGTGGTACCAGCTCTAAGCTGCTTGAAGGTAAGATCTTGGAAGTTGTTGACAATACATAGATGATAACTCCTGTGCTGGTTTCTACCCTGGAATATGATTGACAACCTTTCTTCTGGACTTTGTATCATGCATGTCCCAGAGGGCAGCCTTTCCCTCATTTTTTACCAGACTTTCAATTTTAAACTGTATATTAAGGCTGCCTTTGCCAATACAATTAAATGAAATATTTTCAAAACTAGTGATATACCACATTTTAAAAACTCAAATATATTTAAGTTAAACAATTAAAAGCAAGATGTTTTTGTTGAGATATTACCTTGATAAATATTACAAAAATAACTGTGAATTATTTACTGTAATGTGTGTCTTTAATTAATTTAGCTATTAAGCACCTTTACTTTGTAAGGAATAAATTTATATCTAACTCTATTATGACCTGTTGCAAAATTACATGGTAAAAATTATTATGCAAATCAATTACCTATTGAACATTTTCAATAACAATGAAATTATTTCATGTTAATAATAAACCTTTTAATACTAGGCAAAAAAAGTTTCCTGTAGTTTTTTAAGTAATTATTTTCTAATTATACTTATAGGGGAGTTAAGGCAATAATACATATTTCTGATTTAAATAATTTCAGTTTAGACTTCTAGATGTGATTCATACAATTTATTTACTTTGGAAGATCTCAATTCTTTTTTAGTTTATTTATTTATTTATTTATTACAAGGTTTGGTTAAGTTTTATTATTTTTATATTTTACATAAAATTACGTTTAATATGTGAAAATCATTTAGATGTTCCTGTAGTATTTATCACACCATTACATCAATTCTTCTAATTAAAGTCCTAATTTAATTCCCTTGTTCATTTTATTTATTTATTTCTTTATTTTGAGATGGAGTCTCACTCTGTCGCCCAGGCTGGAGTGTAGTGGCACAATCTCGGCTCACTGCCTCCTGGGTTCAAGTGATTCTCCTGCCTCAGCCTCCCTAGCAGCTGGCACTACAGGCACGCACCACCACTCCTGGCTATTTTTTTTTTTTTTTTTTTTTTTGTATTTTTAGTAGAGATGGGGTTTCAGCACTTTGGTCTGGTCTCAAACTCCTGACCTTGAATGATCTTCTCACCTCGGCCTCCCAAAGTAATGGGATTACAGGCATGAGCTACTGCGCGCAGACCCTCATTCCTTTTAAATGTTATAAGCTCAAGTGTTCTGACAGTTATTTCCATAAACAGCTTGAAAATGATGATGAATTGGAATGAGAAAACTATTCTCATAAGAACAGATAAGCTTTGTCATGTAAATTTAACTGAACATGATGTTTAAACTAGATTAAGTGCAATGAAAATTAATAACACTTTAGTTAACTAATCTAAAAATAACTAGGATTGTTCTCATTTATTGGACTATGTGGCCCACAATACCTGTATACATTTCCCTCCTGGTTGTTTAAATATGACATTATTAAATTTCAGGAATGCCACTCAAATTCATTTTTATCACTGGCACTACTTTGGGAAAGTAAGACAGATTTCAAGGGAGCTCTTATAATGCAACATCCACAAACAATTATGACAAACAAACAAACAAAAAAACACTTGGGTGATCTCAGAGGGTTTTACTAAAAATTAAAACTAAAATCTTCTAGTAAGGACTAAGTGATGTTTCCAAATATCATAATTATCCAGTTTTTGCAAATTTAATAAAATAATCTAGATAATTATATAGTTGTTTAAGAATTCTGTGATAAGGATATTAAAATAATACCTATGAATATATTTTGAAAGTGGTAAATTAATATTTTCTTATCTCATTATTTGAGCAGCTTTAACTGTTTTAGCCATAATTATAAATTAGCTAGTATTTCCAAGCACATAAACATAGACAATATATACTGTGTGTATATTTATATAATATATATTAAAAATATATAAAATATATATTATATATTAAAAATATATAAAATATATATTATATATAAAATATATAATATATATTAAAATATATATTATATATAAAATATATAATATATATTAAAATATATATTATATATAAAATACATAATATATGTTAAAATATATATTATATATAAAATATATAATATATGTTAAAATATATATTATATATAAAATATATTATATATAATATATATAATATATATTATGTATAAAATATATATAATATATATTATATAAAATATATATAATATATATTATATATAAAATATATACTATATATGAAAAAAAGATATATTATATATATATTTTTTCTTTTTTTTTAAAGACGGAGTCTCTCTCCGTCTCCCAGGTGGCTAGAGTGCTGTAGTGCGATGTCGGCTGGCTGCAACCTCCACCTCCCAGGTTCAAGCAATTCTCCTGCCTCAGCCTCCCAAGTAGCTGGGATTACAGGTGCCTGCCACCACGCCAGGCTATTTTTTTTGTATTTTTAGTAGAGACGGGGTTTCACCATATTAGCCAGGCTGATCTCAAACTCCTGACCTCAGGAGATCCGCCCACCTCAATCTCCCAAAGTGCTGGGATTAAAGGTGTGAGCCACGGTGCCCAGCCCCTATATTCTTTCTTTTGATATCAATGTGTACTACCAAGTATATTTGTTTAAGTACATACTTGTTCACTGAAAATTGCTGAAACATTGTAGAGATAAATACATGATGAGATTTGTATTGTTATGCTCAATATTTAATTATTGCTTTTTAAAAGACAAATTTATAAATAATGACAGGCAAATCTTTTTTGTTTACTAAACTGTATCTTTTCACCAGTTCATGTATGTTGATTTTAAGCATTACTATGTGTCAAGCACTTTCCTAAGTACTTTAAATATTGATTTTTTAATCCTCTCAGCATTCTTTGTACTAGATACTCTTTACTACTGATTCCATTTTATAGAGCAGACTGAGCTATTGAGTGATTAATTTGCATAGGTTGGCCTGGCTAGTAAACTTCAGAACCTGGCCTTAATCCCAGGCATTGCAGTTGCAGAGCCTGCAGCCCTAAGCATGATATGATCCTGTTTTTTGTAGGGTAAAGGGATGCTGTTATTATACTCTACATATTAAAAACACTTACACTTGATGAGTGGCCTTGGCAAGTGACAACAGCATAAGAGGAAAGAGTGCAGGCTTTACATTCAAATAGAACTGGAAGTTTAAACATTTTCTATTTGTAACTATATGTCCTGACAAGTACATTGCCCCTTCTGAGCCTCAGATTCTTTATCTGCAGATGGAATTGATACTATCTTTTGATGGATGTAGATTGATAGGCAGATTAAAATTCATAGCATATGTAAAATACCTAAAATACCTAGTAAAACACCTAGGTCAATAACTGTTATAAAGAAATAATTGCATAAATATATATACATAGGATTTTTTAGTTATTTGAAAAAAAAATACCTGTATATCTCACCTTTTCTTTTGTCATAATGTGTGATTTTAAGTTTTATTATTTATGCAAACAACTTGTCCTTCTTTAGTAAATTAGTGTATGTCCTTGAGAACAAGCAGTGTAGATGTTAGGTATAATGCCTACATACCATGTTTTACAGATACATAAGTTTAAAAATTCCTGTGGCATTAATATAAGTTTAAATAAATATTATTTACCCAAAATCATTATAGGAGATAGTTGCTGTGTTTTTTGTAAAAGGCTATCAAAACATATGAACTACAAATACCCAATTTGATTTATCTTTTTGTATGTTTGCAGTTATTGTAAGATGTCACTGTTATTTGATCAGGTATCTTAGCGAATGACAAGCAAATGAATGTTTGCAGTGATTTTAGTGAATTACAAGAGCAGAATTAATAATTCCAGTATTTTCTTAAAAAGTGGTCAGAGATTATAGTTTTATATAATATAATACTAAATTCCTACTCTTCCCTATCCAGCTGTGACAAGACAAAAGGAAAACATAGAGAAATTCTGAAGTAAATAATTTTTTTAAAAAAGGTGTCTATAAGGAAGTGAAAATTAGAATGAAAACACACATAAGTTTTACAAGAAAACTGCCTAAGTCTGATGTTGCAATATAGTGAATGTATTCAATTATATGATCAAATAAACTAGCCACAAATATTTACTGAGCTTTTCTTAGCGTAACTGTGTACAAGATTACAAGAACATACATGAATAAACTCATTCATTCAACAAATTGTTTCACCCTCTAAAGCCGGGACAACAATGGTAATTGAAATGAATTCAGTTCCTACTCTCATAGAATATACAGATTAATGAGAGAGAAAAAAGAATTATGTATTATTTAATGATAAGATATGGTAAGTGCCATGAGGGCAAAAAAGAGGGAGCCTATGACAGGGAAGCCTTTTGTTTGGGGGAGTTAGGAAAGTGGCATGAAAGCCGAGACCATAAGAATGTATAGTATATACTCAAACAGAAAGAGGAGGGGTGGTAGAGATGAGAATTTTACAAAGAAAATGATGAATAAATAGATCCTTTGAGAATCCTCAAGAATAAACACATCCTTTGTTTATCCTCAAGAATAAACAGATCCTTTGTCTTTAAGAATCTTAATATTTAGTGGATGAGTTAAGATTGTTATTTAACCAACATGT
Organism: Homo sapiens; assembly: GCF_000001405.40. Taxonomy (NCBI): domain Eukaryota; kingdom Metazoa; phylum Chordata; class Mammalia; order Primates; family Hominidae; genus Homo; species Homo sapiens. Next base: position 84,129,920 of record NC_000005.10, on the reverse strand, counting down.
GATAGCACCTTTAGTATATCTTATCTTTTAGGCCTTAACAATATAGAGTCATGAAATTTCATTTGGGGTTGTGATCTGTCCATGCCAAACCATGTTTATATACTAAAAATTCATCTTATAAATATGTTTTTGTGCAATCACAAGGGATTTTTAAAACATCAGAATAGATTTTAACTTGTAAATGTAACAAGAAATCAAAGAGAAACAAAGAAAAATAAATATTTAATTTTAATCCTATTTTATTCCATATAACAAATATCTGCTCTGTTTTAGAAATTTGAACAGGGTACTTTGGTAATGATTTTTGTCTCTGAAAGCATTGGCTAATTTAACTTAAGATTGTTCTACTTTGCTTGAAATACATAAAATAAAAATTAATCCAAAACTCCAGTGGGACAGAAGGACAGTTTGCCTCAGGCTGATACCTTTTGTGAACATTAAAAATAAATAAATAAAGGAATTGACTATGGGTAAATCTGAGGTGCATAACATTTAAAATCTACCTATAAATATATAGAGATACATTTACAAATAACTGTAACCATATATACTTGAATATATAATTATTTTAACTTAATTTCTCACTTCTTTTAAAACATATTTTTGTGAGTTAAAAAAATCCAGAACTCTATGCAAGTATATCAATAAAGAAAGAAACAATTTCAACGTTACTGCAGGATGAAGTTTTTGAAACAATAAACACAAAAAATTGACTCAATAACAAAAGCAAATTGGATTATTTGTGCCTGACATGGAAGTTCTATCTTCCTTCAGATGCCTCTGATTTTCCAAATGTTACACAACAGTTTTGTACAGAATTATCACACTTTGAAGGTTCACCTACTGTACCTTAAAGTTATAATGTAGTAAAGGAAAGACAAACAAGTATCTGCAAAATGTTCAAATAGACCATGTGGGACTTGTTAAATACTTCCAACAAATGGAGTCGTATTCTCATTACCTGACAGTTTTGTATTTAATTGCAAATAATTACTGAAACATTCCGTAAGAAGTTTTTGTTTTCAAATTATTTCAACATTCCCCTTATGTGCTAAACTGTATATGTCCAGGGATTATAATTTAGTTTTGCATTTATTCTCCAGGCTAAAACTTGCTCTTATATTTTCCAGTTCAAAGACAAAGAAAGATGAAGTACTCAGACATCAAGAGAGTTTGAGAACGGCATAACTTGATTTAGTTCTCATAAAATTTAGAACTGTAGTGGATGATTGAAAAATATTGCATTTTTCTCAAACTGAAAATATCACTCTTTCAGCTATCACTCCAACCCTCACCCTTACAAAAGGAGCAGGGGGACAACCCAAATAAAATATATACAAAACAAAAAACACAAAAAAACCTCTCTGTTAGGAAACTACTAGAAAAGAAGTCATCCTGGGACTAGAAAGTTGGAACACTGTTAAATTGTTAATTTGTGGGCCAGACAGTATCTTCTACATGTTAATGTGGCGTTCTTGGGTACTTAGGTGAAATTTTGGGCCGACTGTCAGAGTGAGGTTCAATTGGTTATTTCACAATGGGGAAATTATAGCACAAACCACCGGGATTTCCGCTTTTATCACACTGCTGATAAAAGCAGAGACAAACGCCTTTCTCAGAAGAGAAGAAAGAATATAGATGGTTCCTGATCTTTCACCAAATGTGCACAATTTTTCAAACGATGGCATGATTTCCTGAGCTCTCAAGGGTTCCAAATGGTTGCAATAAAACTTGACTGGCAACTATGGAGCTGAGTTTGGCAGTGACAGCAACAGCTAGTGTGACCCTAGCCGCAGTTTTCAACTGAATCAGCACACTTGGAAGTAATGGTTTCCAGCAGCATGTAAGTCATAAAGCCAAATACATGTTTTGAGTTCCCACCTTCAAAGCAATCTTCTTCAACTGAAGAATGAGGGCACAGCAACCTTTTTCACTGCTTAGGCATATTGAATTTTAGGTGCAATTGGGACATCCTGATAAGATAGTACAGCTAGTTATTAAAAATGCATATTGTAGTTAAGGAAAGCATTGGTAACAAAGATTCAGATTTACAGGTCACATGAGAATGATGAAGTGATAAGATTAGATAGCATTGCCAAGGGAGAAAGTAAGAGAGTAAAAAGTATAAATGGCTAAGGATAAAATTTAAATCAGGCAAAAGAAGTTCTATTTGCAAAGGTACGAAAAAAATAAAATAAAAGGATAATCCAAGAAACAGAAGAGGAATACAGAATTAGAGCAAGGAAAAGAGTGTTTCCAGAATAGGAACTGGTCAAGAAAATGCAGGCCTAAGAAAAGATACTTTTAATGTGGAAGCTAAAACCATTAATGGCCCTTATATAATTGTGTGTCTGTAGAGAAGAATGCCAGATTGCAAGTGTTCCAGAATGAGCAGATGCTGAGTAGAAAATAATAGCCACAGGCTGCTCCTCCCAGGTTATGGTGCACTCTACTTTGAGCATATCTTAAACCCCAAAGAACCATTAAGGTGACTAAAGTCCTAAAAAGAAATTTCATAATAGTTACCTTAATAGCTTTATCTGGTCAATAATACACGTTCTTTTTAGAGCTCCAAAGGGAATGGAAACATAAAGTATCCAACTTAAAAATAAATTGAACTTGAGGAATATGGTTCTATAAAAAGAAGGAGAGCCAGAGCAAAGTCAGTAAATCCAATACTAAAATTCAAGGAAAACAGGAGCAGGGACAGAAAATAAACTATTCTGACAAGAAAAATGGATAGAACTATAGTTATATAAGGAAGCCTATAAATACTCAGCACTATTATCTAACTACGAAATCCCGAAAAATTGAAACCGCAGCTCTTAGCTCTGAAAAATCCAGAGATATTTGTGGTGGTTTGTTCAAAAGAAAATTTGCTTTATATTTTCTCTGGTACACTTGGGCAGACACAAAAATTTTTAAACATCCCCGAAATGACAATTTGGTATATAAGTGTTGCCTCATACTTACTTGGCAGTAACTTAATAATGCTATTTCCTTTTCCAATAGAATTATTTCTGGATTCTGCCACTGTTAATAGTTTTCCGTTTACCAGAACATTAGCACTTTCCTACAAGGATTAATATAAGGGCATTCTCAGTCCCACTCTGTGAGTGCTTAATGCAAGGTTTTTAACCCTAGGTAAGGATCGCAAAGGATAGGTGGACAGAAGTGTCCTTTGATGAGAAAATAAAAATCATCTGTTTATTTGTATTATTGGATGACTGAAATTTAAAATTTTCATCAACTACAAATATAGGCAACAACCAATCATAGTGTTAGCAGTACCTATGATTTTGTCACTAATAGAAATCACAGATATTTTCATTTCACATAATACATGTCACAAATGTAAAATAACATTGACATTTTTCACTAATATGAAACTATAGTAGATCTGCTACTACTTAATGTATTAATAGATCAGCATATACATTGATAAGTCACATATTTTTAAATATTTTGATGATTGCCTTCAATTTCTTTGTATTTCATTTTATATGTTTGAAGGCATTATTCTGAGAAGGGTCTTTAGGCTTCACCAGACTGACAAAAAGGTCCATACTATAAAAAAGGTTTAGAAACCTGAGTTAATGGTTTATCTGTTTCAAAAGATATTTTCTCCCAAAATAATGTAGATGAAGCTTTTGGAGATAAAAGCTGTCAATGAGCCATTTTCATTGAATGTCCAGTCCTGGCCTTTCTGCTGAATTTTGTTCTCTAGCTCCATGTATAAAAACATGTAAGTAAAATAGCAGACGATGAAATTGTAAGCAATATTTTTGTCATTGTATTTACAGAGGTCTTACTAGCAGGGTTGAGCTTTTATTGAATTCATTCCTGCTTCTCCTCAACTGTGCAGATTTAGTCACTTTGTAACCTGTAGAGAGATGATGTATTCTAAATTACCTACCCTATGGACTTGAACCCACATTTAAAAGACTAAGGAAAAGAGGTAAACTAAAGAGCAACCATCACCTGTTCACCCCCACATCCCCTTCCCCATCACCTGCTGCTCAGGGGCTGCTATCTGAAGTTGAGCATATTCAACCGAACCTTTTCAGTCTCCTTAAAAGTGATTATTATCCATGTAAAATTTCATAATCAATTTAGTTCTTTGGTTTTCCAATGCCTTATACACCATCACTTTAGAATAATGCAGCTGGTATAAGAGTTCACCAAAACATACCAGTTTTTCAGAATCATAGGATTATGTATAAAGTAATGGGGATCACTCCGTACTTGGGGCAGGGGGAGGGAGAATGTCCGCCTGTTAACTTAGTGAAATTTCTAGTTAATGTGCACATCAGTTTCAAATCATCAAGGTACTGCCACTAAACACACATGTAATTCTCTTTTTTGATTTAGTTCCTTTCTTGTATCAGAGTTCACTCACACCTAGAGTTATTTAAGGAAGTGTATGCTTCCCGGACATATATGACGCTATCATTGACATGACCTTCTTTCTTTAAGGAAGTTAAGCTTTTGCAGACTTCCAGGTGTCAAACTGGAATTTTAAAACAATAGAAATGACTTATCGTCTAAAAACTTAGACATTTTGCAAAATGGCTGTGGCAATAACATCATGCAAGTGATGAGACAAACATCAAAATAATTGACACATGATCCCTGATATTAAGTCACTGGAAATATTGCTCTGACATACATTTGTCTGGTATTTTTGATTCCAAGAAAACAGACCCATTCAGTTTACCTCTGTAAAATGAGGACTATTTTCAAGTTTGTATGTTAACCACATTACGATGAAGGTTTACATACTACTCGGGTTTCTGGCCCCTCTGTCTCATTCTCATTATTCCTATTTGTAGACCCTATAGTCTTTTAGAACTTTTGCTTCTCTCTGTTTTTACTCTGCATCCTTGTCTTCATGAATGATCAATTTAAATTTAATAATATTCCTCATATTAATTAATAATAAGTAGTTCAAGGGATTGTGCATGAAAAGGTTAACACCAAGAAAGCAGTCAGTTTATAAGTGTACCTGAGAAGGAAAACAATTCATTTAGTATTATTCAACTGTTCTTCATAGTATAGGAAAATGTCATCTATTTATACACATTTAACCTTTTGAGTAGTCAGGAGGATTTTGTCATAGGAGCTTTGGTGAGTTCATTCATTATGCAAAACACTACAAAAGTTCCCACAAAGCTATTAACCGTGTCCTTCTGGTATTTGGTCTAATCATAAAAAGTAAAACTATTTTTTTTTGTTCCTTGGGTAGCAGTATTATTAACCTAACAATATACAAAGTAACACATAAAATTCTGTCCAATGAAGTTGATAAGCCAATATGATAAGAATAAAGTAATTTTTCTAATGCACAATTATCTATCAATTAATTTCTAGTGGGCATCTCTGTGCCACTTAGCAGGTGACAATAGCATCTCCGATAGAGTTTTCACTTGGAAAACTGTTGACATTTCACCTGTTTTGAACAAAAGGTCCATTAAAATTTTCTTAAACATGTTTTCTGATTACAAAAGTATTCCATATCTGAACAGGAATACTTGGGAACCACAAAATTAATTATTCAATTTTATTTCATTCTAAAATGGAGTTCATTTAAATCGACACATGTAACATACCATCAGAGGCTATGCATATAATATTTACATATTGTTACTTGGTTCTTTCTACAACGTGTCTTCCCTTGTGTCTGGTTGGCCAAATCCCTTTTCCGATCTAAAATTTGTCGGTAAAATAGACATTGTTTCTTCAGTGTACTTAATTTTCTCTTTGGTAATACCTAAAATACCTGCATAAGTATTTTATGCATACCTGGATAAGTTGGGCATTTGATAAGTTCAGGCAGTCGAGTGGCTAAGATGTCTCTGAGTTTAGTAAGAATTCTCTAGGGAGAAAGTTACCTTCATCTATTTTGATTGGTGTAAAATTGGGAAGCAGATAAACACTTGTTTAAACATAATGAACAGGCAACTGGATACATTTAATCCAAGTTTAAACTGAATTTTATAAAAGAAAAAATAGTAGAAAACTGCATAGTATTGGTCTTATACTTTTTAACAACATGTAAGTAAAAAGGAACTACTGTTTTTCACTCTAGTCACACCTCCACTGCTTCCAAGAATATGACAGTACATACAGTTTTTGAAATTTTAGGAGCTGGATAGACAAGTAAATTGTCTACAAGGCTGCTTTTATTACTCATTGAAATGATGTTTTTTTAGTATTCTACCTTAACAATAAAGTACTAGAGAGAAGTAAAAACCTATAAAAATCATGTTTCAGTTAATAATTCATGTTATTAATTAGTCATGCTTTTGAGAAATGGGAGTTAAAACTAACTTTTCAAATGATTGCAAGGTGTGTGAAGTAAACATAATCAATTGATTTATTTTACTCAATTTACTTTCTAATCTGTTGACACAGATAATGAGCCTTGGCTCTACATTAACGTGAATATGATAGAAAAGAGAAATATACAGGCAAAATCCAAGTTTATGCATATATGAATGTTTAATTGGTATTTGCTTATTCATTTAAGGATTGTTGTGTACATACATGAAACACAAGACTATTAGAAACAAATTTAACCACAGCAACAAAAATGATCTGTGGTTGGGACACAAAATTCTTGATAAAATAATGCTTAAAATTTTGAAATTTATACATAAACTTTTACCTTTTAATGCTAAATCAGACTAATGTCATAATTGCCCAGATGCTGGTTTCATGTTTGAAGATGTTAGCATTGAAAATAATTGCCTCCACAATTTATCCTGAGGCATTTTCTTAAACAGAGAAAAATGCACTATGCTGTAATAGGCTTTCTTAAAAGAGGAAATGTGAAAATAGTTATTAAATTGTAGAGAGAAAATACACAGTGAGAGAGAGGAAAAATAAGGCTGTAGAAGTTCTTGAGGTAGGCAGTTCACCATGTTCCTAGTCTACAGATGTCTCATTATAAAATTATTCTGAATTTAGTTTCTAATAACCTGCTTCAGCTGTAAAATCACTTTCAATCTTAGAAAACTAAAGTATTAAATGTTATACCTCTGCTTTGCACAAAGAAGAGGCTCAATAAATATTAGTTAAATGTTGAATGAATAACAGTCCATGTTGAATCTTTAGTCCAACCACGGCAGAACAACGGTGACGGAGAACACAAAGTGAGTTAGATCACTGTCCTACATCTTCATAAACAAGACATCTAAGTGCCCTCCTCATCATTTTTTATAGTTTCTCCACACTCCTTAAGGCATATGCAGCAAACAGAACACCCCCAGCGTGTCATTACAATGTTTATCATGACCCATTGGTAATAGATGTACCTGGGTTCAAATCCTGGCTGTAAGACTTTAGGGGAGTTACTTAACCTCTCTGAGTCTCAATTGCCTCAATTACAATTGGAAATAAAGATACTCTCCATGAGGGATAGCATTAGGAGATATACCTAATGTAAACGACGAGTTAATGGGTGCAGCACACCAACATAGCACATGTATACATATGTAACAAACCTGCACGTTGTGCACATGTACCCTAGAACTTAAAGTATAATAATAATAATAAAAAGATACTCTCCATGGGGTTGTTTTAAGGCCAAAATGCCTGACATATTTTTCTCTGCAGTATGTATGTGCAGGCTCCATTTGTATTTTTTAGGAAGATCTGTGAGAGAAAAGATAAATCCATACCTTTGGAAGGGGAGCAGGAAAGAGTTATGGACAGTCCACCTAAACAAGGGAATCAACACATTTAGATATTACTTATCTTAGTTGCAGAAGAGAAAGATATTGGATGAGGAGATATACAAGAGTGAAGTGCACTTGAGGTGAGAATGGGTAAAATGCTGCAAGAGTTTGCATTGCAAGGTAGAGAACCATCCTAGAGGGAGATACTGTCTGTTATGTTTGCCTCAATTAAATTGATCAATGATGTTTTTGAGCAGCTGTTACTTCCAGGCTCTTTATAAGATGCGAGGAATAGGCCCATTTATCGGTCAGGACCCAGATATAACTGTTGTTTGGAAGAATTTACAATCTAATGTGGAAGACAAATTCTTAAATACATAAATGCCCATTAAAAGTATATTTAAATGCTCAGTGCTATGATACACATATGCTTAGAGTCTTTTTGTACCCCAGAATTGGCACAAATAACTCTGTTTGGGGGAACGCTGGGACAGCGAAGAAAAGGACAGAGGCATGAGCTGCAAAAATACTTCCTACACTGTCATCTAAGTAAAATTCAGTCTAAGGTTTGCAGTTTGATATTGCTAGAAGGTAAATTTCAAGCAGCCAAGAGGATGACCTTTTTTTTTTCTGACCAATGGGGACCTATTGAAAAAAAAATGTAGATAGATAGATAGATAGATAGATAGATAGATAGATAGATCGATCTAAGTTAGTGAACTGGTCAGATAATGGGGAAGTTTATTCTGAATGCAGTGTGTAGGATCAATAAAGGGGACGCCATTAAGAAGAAGGAGGCGGTAGTACTGGCAGTGAGATTCTGGGCTACAACAGAATTGGCTAGATGAGAAAAGAGAGGACAAATAGGAGAATGAGTTAAGCAGTGAAATTAGCACATAATTTAATAGCTGATATAACTAATACCATTTATTCACAACTTCACTTAAAATATTAATTTTTGTTGTTTTAAAATCTTTTCCAGATAGAAGCTTCTGAATTAGTTATCAGTATTTTGATTTCTCACTTTCAGCAACTAAGCAGATAGCAATGAAACTAAGTTGGAGGGGTTAGACCCAGATTCGTAAGGAATGCTCAACGTATGTACACCAGAGTATAATCACTAGAGAATATCCACCTCCTTAATAAACTAATTGTACAGATAACGTATACTGTAGACAATAGCACAATATAATTCTAAATCATTAAAACAGCCTGATTTACTTTTCATTTTATAGTAATCCCCTCCCTACTGTCACTGTTACCCATTGGCATGTATGAATGAGGACTCAGTGGCAATCTTTCTGCTGAAATTACAGACCTTTTAGGAACACAGGTGTTTAGTATTATCATTATTCCTTTTCATATTTTTTTTACTTAGTGCTTAGTATTTCTAACCCCAACAGGCTTCAGAGTGTGCAGTCAAACCTTAAAAAGATCATACTCAGCCCATGTCTTCATGAAAAAGAGACCTGTATAAAGACATTTTCCTTTGGTTTCATGTGATTAAACTATCTTTGTTTTCTAATGCTACTGATACACTTTCAAAATGCTGTCTTCCAGTCAGGATGATATTTGGATATACTCAAGAACAAAACTAATAGGAAGGTTAGGAATTTCTAATTTTATTTGTAAAACGGAATTTTTAGTCATGGACAAGTAATTAATAATGACAACGGAAAAAAATTGCTCTTTTTAGATGATTTTCATGCCACGGCATCTGTGTCATCTGAAGGAGTAAGGAAACAGAGTCCTAAACTCCAGGTGTTATATTAACAATCTTTATTAAAATGATAAAATATTTAAAGTAGTGTTTTATCAAGCTTCCTTCCATCCATCTCATCTTCAACCACTAGTCAGCCAAGTGCTAGGCAATGCTGAGGTTGATGACTGGAGAAGGAAGATGCAAATATATTAAGAATAATCACTCAGCTCTTTAGAGATTTTAAGTGGATATTGCCACCCACTTGACTTCTGTATCAAAATAAAAGCCACACTCCTATATATAGAACAAAAAAGCCAGAATATTTTATTGTACCACCTGAAATTTTTTATCATGTGCTTTTGACAACTCTTGTGCAAAGGTGTGCAATTCCTGAATTTACCATACTTTTTTTCTGAAACTGTCTCATTTTACTTTCTTTATGTGACACTTCATAAGAAATCAATAGTTATGCATAGTTTTTTTTAAAAATCTCAAAAACAGATTATGAAAAGAGTTGGCTGGGTACCAAGGGGCATTTTGTGAATTTTTTTCCCAAGACATCCCCTTTATGTCCTTAGAAATCAGAAACAATGAATATTAACATTCTTCTCAAATTTATTGCAAATATAAGTCATGATGAAACAAAAAAAAGGATATGCTGAAGATACAGAAATCAGGTATTATTCAATTTGGGGGGAAATGGTTTGTTACTTTACTCTCATTTGTGGAATTCAAGAAATGAGATTTTGTTGATTGCTCCAACAAAACTGCCAGCAGGTAAAACTTTATCTCCATTTATCCTAAAGATAAGATTACTCAGATATTAAAGTGGGGGAAAAACTCGATTATAAAAGTGCTTTTCAGAATTGTAATCTGATTTATCAAAGTGTTAATATGAAACTTTTCCGTAGGACATCCTCATTTTGTACCACAATGAAGAAAAGTGCTTGACAGACCCAGACCTATTTTAAACTAAGATTATTTAATTAGTAATTTTTATTTCCAGTGAGTCTGGCAATAAACTGTGGGGAATCATTTCATTTTCATTCATTACAAGAAGCCATAGTTTATATTTCCCCCAGGCAGAGATTTTTATCTGACAATTTGAATGCTTTGGTGACAGAAATATCTGATGATAAATATGGTATTAAGGAGATGCCAAGTGGCATGATAGTTTGAATCATTTTTGGTAACAGCTCATGATTAATAATCGTGCTTATGTATGTATTCACGTTTTTTATTATTGAATAACATTTTGCATGGGAAATGGGAGTAGATGTTCTACTCCATTTTCATTTCTGTGAAAAAAAAAAAAAAAAAAAAAAAACCAAATGCATGTAAAACATGGCTGAACTGGTAGCATATGTTTAAACCATGTGTCTCCAGGTAGTAAAAGAGGTCAGTCTCCTCCAACTACGACTTTTTATCTCTTATTTTTGTTTTATTGTGGTAAAACAACAACAATGTAAAAGCTACCATTTACTAAAGGTATATTGGTTGCCATATAATTTACTATGTGCTAACCATGTATTCTTTCAAACTTATGAAACAAACCTGTAAAATGGGTGTTATTCTCCCTGGAATACACATTATTAACCAGCACAGTTCCCATATTTTGGTGTATATTGGTATCACTGAGAACTTTAAAAATATATATGTCTGGCTCGTACCCCAAGGCATTCTAATTGAATTGGTACTGTATGAGATGTGGCCTGGCATTGGAATTTTTAAAGCTTCCTGTGTAATCCTAATGTGCATCAAAATTTGTACACCACTGGATTAATCTGGAGCTGCTGAAAGATTAAACAATTCCCCCAAGGCCACACAGCTGTTAAGTAGTGGGGTAGAAATTCCAACTCTAAACTTTCTGGCGTCACAACTGAAATGCTTCCATGAAGTAGGACACACTTTTTCTTTAGGGTTCTGTTCAGAGTAGAGATTTTTGCACCTGTATTTGCCTTCATATCCTTAACCAAAATTCCAATGAGGAACAGTTTTGATAAAATGATATAATAGAAAGTTTGTGAAGACTCAATGAGGTGCTTTATGTATATTATAAGTTACCACTACACTATACTTGTTACCGTAGTTATTTCCCAATTAAATTACCTGCATTTGTAAATTGTATGATCTGATGAAGTTGTGCACCTATAAATTAATCTAATTAATCTATAAATATAAACTGAGTGATTCTATTTTCTTTTTATCTTTTATCTATGTAGCTTTAGTTAGCTGAGCTGATAACTTTTCAAAATATGAAGGCACTAAGGATATATTACCATAACCCCCTGCCTGAGCAATTTTTAGCTCACTCACACAATCTTTCCTTTTTTTGTTTTTTTCGTTGTTGTAGTTTAAGAGGATTTTAGTAATTAAATAAAAATGTTCAATTAATGAGATACTTTCTTACTAATGTAAGGTAAAATTTATATTTCTGGTTTGCTTTGTGTATTTTTATGCAATTTATCTTCCCTGTATATTAAAAGAATGACTATATCCTGCTGTATCCATAAGACTATTAAGTTAAAAAATATCCATTTACTGTTTTTTGAAGCATTGGACTAAAAAATAATGATTTCTAAGAAAATTCAGTCACTATTCTCATTTGTACAAAATTTTTTAGAAATGAAATTAATTCTGTTATTTTTATTTTGTGGTAATGAATATGCATCATTTTATGTTTGTGACTTTATAGTCCCTACCTAGTTCCTGGTTCATCCCATAAATTAACCTACTAGAGTGGTGAGCTAGCCAACATTTGCAGGATGAAAGCTTCTGAAGAAATTAGTCTTTTTTATAAAGCCAAAATGAAAAAAAAAGTATTAAGTCCTCTTTTCTTTAAAAGCTTAAGGTAAGCAGGTAATTCTATTATGGGCTTTTTTTTTTTCAAAATTTACTACTTCATAATGGACAAGCATAGGATTATTTACAACTTTGCATTTGTCATATATTTTTAATATGTTTATAAGAAGTATATTTGTTTATTTACTTAATCACTAGGCCAAACTCTATAGCAATAATGTATTCTGCTGCAACATTTTAGAAAATAGTAATTTATCCCATTATGGATATTTTGTTGAACACAACTAATATTCCATACCCATTTCAGCAGCTAAAGATTTTAGTATGTATGTATGTATTATTGGGTAGTACTAGCAAATTCTGTATATTGTTTTTACTACAAATATTGTTCAACAAAAATAAGTACTTGGCCGGGCGCGGTGGCTCACGCTTGTAATCCCAGCACTTTGGGAGGCCAAGGCGGGTGGATCACGAGGTCAGGAGATCGAGACCATCCTGGCTAACACGGTGAAACCCCGTCTCTACTAAAAATACAAAAAAAAATTAGCCGGGCGTGATGGTGGGCGCCTGTAGTCCCAGCTACTCAGGAGGCTGAGGCGGGAGAATGGCGTGAACCCGGGAGGCGGAGCTTGCAGTGAGCCGAGATTGCGCCACTGCACTCCCGCCTGGGCCACAGAGCGAGACTCCGTCTCAAAAAAAAAAAAAAAAAAAAAAAAATAAGTACTTAACTTGGATACTACATAATGTCAGAGTATACTTTATTATTACGTACAATAAATTTGAAAAGAAACAGAAGTCAACTTTCATATTTCAATAGGCTGATCCATATTCATTACTGATAAAACACATCCAGTATGAATCTCTACTGAATAAGAGATAATGTATGAAAAGCTGGCTTAGCTTCAACAGGTTTATAATAAAATTGTTACTCTATTAAATCCTTCTCGATATTCTTTTATAAAATTGGTAAAGCATCCTTTGTTTTAGTAGCTTTACATTTGTTATGTTTAAAGTTCTATGTTGAATTATTCCTTTCAGGATTACCAAAGCCACTGTAAATACAATATTTAAAACATTTGTGGCAATTTTATTTGTAGGAAGGTTCAATTAGTAAATACATATTATCAAGAATTCATCCTCTATTTCAACTTTATACTGGAAATGTTGGCAATTTTTTTTTAATTTGGAAAGATGAAACACAGCACAGCTGAGGTTGTGACTTAGAGAGCAGGCTTTGAAATTAATTGCAAGAATGTTTAGGTCCCTGACCCAACCTAATACTTTTCTGATTATGCAGGTATTACCTATTATCTTCTAAATGAAAAATATTTTCTTACATTTTTAAAAGTAAATGCATAATATAGATGTCTCTAGAATTCAAATGAACAAATCATCTACTATACTTTTCTAGGCTCCATTTTGCTCTCTGTCATTTCTTCCACAACTTTTCGAAGTGTGCTAGTATTAGACAGAGCTCAGTATGTCTTTCCTTGGCACCTGCAATGGCCTCCTGTTTCATCTCTTGGGGTTTTTTTTTTTTTTTTTTGACCTCTGGAACACTAAAATTTCATACTAGACCTAAATTAACATCCAGTGTGAAGAAAAGATAACTACATTGTACAGAAAACAAAATAACTAGATATAGCTGGTAATTGGGTTTGGTACTATGATTTATCTCTCAAATAAAAATCAGTGCCTGACATGGCAGTAATATTGCTTTATAACCAAACATCAAAGGCAATGCCTTAGGGCACGTAGCCTGATGTGCATTTGCCAAAAAATCTTAAAACATATAAATAACTTAAAAGCATAGGAATCTGTCTTCTACAAGCACTGTATGGATGTTTACATTTTGTATTTGACTCATGTTTCTTCAAGCAACTCAGTCCCTCTTTTAGCATTTTAACCTTGGCATTATACCCTTCTTAGCTCTTTCCTATGTAGATATATGTTTTGTCAGAAAGCAAGAACAGGTGTACAGCTACAGGTTTTTGAATTTCAGGCTTTTGACTTTACAGACAAATGTTTCATCAATCCATATTGTTTTTACCACATGAAAAATCCAAATACTCTTCCATTTTAAAAGAATACATCTTAAGCAAACTACAATGAACTCTTCTGTTGTCCTACAGCAGAACTGTTTACTGTGATAAGAGGATAATCGTCTTAGATTTTGTCAACTTTTGTGAATTATCTCAATAAGAATTTTGGCCTTTGAATACTGGAGTTCATAGGCTCTACTATTTAAATAATAACCATTATTCTGCATCAATATGCTCACAAATCAATTTGAGAAATATTAATAGACAATTTTTATTATAGTTTAGCTTATTCATGGGCTTCATTTTTTTCTGAATTGAAAACAATTAATTTAAACTGATAATATATCATAATTGGCTTGAGATAACACACAGTGTGAAGAAAACATAGCCACATTTTAAAGGAAATAGCTAGATGGCTGATAATTGCATTTGTGACTTTATAAATGTGGTTTTCATTCCAAATATAGTATTTCCCCTACCTCCAAGAGCTGATTCTTATATATTTTTAAGCCTGCCAGTATATGAAGAAAGCATTTCCGATTTTAACACCCACCCAGTATGTTGAATCCTTAGAGTGATAATATCTACATTCAGAGGACTAATCCACCTTCAAAAAAGAAAGAAAAGTAATTCCAAAAAGCAATGATTTGTTTTAGTTTACTTTATCCCGTAATATTGAGAGCTGCCCATTTGTAAGCACTGTGCTAAGTGCTTTGAAAACCTAAATAATGCAAAAGGCATCGTCTCTACCTGTAAGAAGCATATTGTCTCAGAGGGAAAAAAAATGCACAAATTGCTGTTCATCTTCATTTAACCTGGACACCTTCTGAGCTTTCAATATGGAAAATAATAGAATATAGGTCGTAATAAAATTGAGAGAATGTTTTCCCAGCGAAATACCACAGAATCACAGTATTCACAATTGTGAGAAAAATTAGCATTTATCTAAGCTATGCTGCCCATCTGATAGGAAGAAACAGCCTTTTCTTTAAGGTACACGTGCAATTTATATGGAATCCAAGTAAGTTTAACTAATTTTTGAAAACAGTATTAAGGATTTCTCAATTACTAGTTTTCCTAAGGAAGGTTACTGTGACTGTATGTAATGTTTATACCCCAATACAAAGAAGCAATCTCAGTGTGGAGAGAGATGAACATCACCAAGTGGAATTTTCATTCTAATTCCTTTGAAGGTGATTATTCTCAGTGCCATAACCAGAGGCTGACACCCAGGGGGTGCTCTGCAGGAATTTGGGAATGAGTAAGTGAAGCTAAGGCTGTGTTGTGCATGTTTACCTTCACATTCTCACTCTGTATCCGGGAAACTTTTTGGCCATTTTTCCATCTCCTACACCTGAACTGGAATATTCAGGCCCTGTTCCCGAATCACCCTTTCTTAAACTTCTCATCTTCACTCCATCCCCTGACCTCTTTCTTCTGATACAACTTCCTAACACACCAGAAAAATGATAGCCTTGAGAGAAATCAAATCAAATGCATGGGGGCTTAGCTGACACGACTCATCAAAAAAAAAAAAAAAAAAAAAACTTTAGGGTTCCTTTAAACCCTCAGGCCACAGCGTGAGAAAGAGTAGCCTTGATCCCTCCCTCACCAATTAAAGCCTGGTCTCAAGACAACTCTAAAATAAAACAAATGCTAGGAATAAAAGAAAGGCTGTTGTCCAAGTGGCACAGAGGAAAGCTTACATTTGAATCAGCATTAATTTCTGCAGTACTGGAGGTCATCACTAATCCATTCACCAGTGCTTGCATTCAGCACAATTATCACGCTGTATTAAGCACAGCAGAGGACTCACTCGTATAAGATGAGATGCTCGGAGAAAGGGAGGACTGGAGATGTTTAAAGGAGATTTGTTTCTTACATGGTTTTAATTTGAAATCCTTTCATTCTGAAGATGTCTGGATATTGAGATAGAGCAAATGAAAGCAGTACATTCCTGTTGCGGATTCAGCTGTGCATCTCACTTATTTGAAAGGCTTAATCAGCACACTCAGGAACAAGATGCGAGACATCTTGAGGCACTGCTTACTTGTCAGCTGCAAGATCAATAAAATGCAGAAGCCATTCTTTGCCATACTCCAGAGAATGAATTTGCAGAGTGAGAAGGACTCCACTTTGAAGCTATTTTATTCACATCCCTCTTGGCCAAAGCAGAAAAGTTGCTATGGGGAGGCACTTGAAGTTTGGCCCCCAGCTAGCCCAGCTGCTCCTGCTCAACCTGCCAGGTGACTCACTTGCTCAGTATTAGTCTGAACAGCAGGGTGTCAGGTCAGAAGGCACTTCCAGTCTACTCAGACAATTCAGGCAGTGTAATTATTTTAAATGACTGTATAAAAGGTGCCTGAAATTCTCTGGTAGCCAATGTTGAATGGACTCATTAATTTAGGATTATTGTCGTACCTGACAAAAGCAAGCACAATACCAAGGATGCATAAACACAGATCTTACAGCCAGGAAATGCAGACTACCATATTCTACTACCGTATTCTATTTTTGTATTCAGCATTGATCGAATTGCCACTATGCCCTCTCTAGAGGTAACAATGGGGAATTTCAGAAATACCTGGTAATGCTGTGTGGCAGCGATTTGAAAGAGAAGAGACCCAGACAGACCACTATCAGTTACATTTTTTTTAAATAGTAAACAAGTGCTCTTCTTTACTCATCATAAAAAAAATTTCTAAAGAAGGCCTCTATATCTGTGTACCTTTGAGAGCATGTAAGTGTAAGTGTAAATGATTTTTAATTAAAAATGAAGTATACAAATAAAATGGTACCATATTACCTGCCATTTGTATTGTTTATTTACCTTTCATATTTATTTTTTAGAAGTAATTCCCTCTACCGACATTTATTAAATGTTCACTGAAATTGAAGCTTGCTGCTAGATACTGTGAGGAATATAATCTTTGCCTACAAAGGGGTTCTCTATCTTGTGAGAAAACAGATGGGCACACATAAACATGTGGATGAGTTGTGGACCAGGGAAGTACTGGACATGGTTTGAGCATAGAAGCAGATTTTTACATCTCAATCCTGTCCCTGCAGCCTGACTGATATGAGAGATGTTGAGAGTAGCCCACCAAAATCAGTATAGCAAGAGAAGGAAGGTAAGACAAGCAGATCCTCCCACATTCAATCCAACAGCAAGAATGATTTTTGATAAATTTTAAGAGAGGAATTTGGTCCAGTGATGTTATTTGTGAAACGTGGCCAATCTCAATGAAAGGAAACACCTATGTTTGCTCTCTGGACCCTTTGAAATTCAAACACTCCATTTCCCTCCTCTACCTTGCATCTAATCATTACTAGTTCTGCCTACTTTTACCTCTTAAATATTTTTGAACTCTTCCTCTTCTCCGCCCCTCTTTCAGATCTGCATTATTTTTCACATGGACAACTGTAGTAGCTTACTCTTTGGACATAGTTTTGTCCCGTCTTAAATCTACTCTTTATGGCACAGTGGGAATGATCTAAATTAAATGAAAATGTGGCCATAGAGTCCTTCAAAAACTCCCCATCACTAACAGAACCAAATTCTATCATCACCGTCTTCTGCAAAATAATCTAGCATTTTTCTACTTCTCCACTTCATCTCTTAACCATTCCCCCACCAACCCATCTTGATCTAGTGATACTGAACTGCCTCTAATTCCCTCATCATAGCAGCCTGTTCCCTGCCTGTGTCTATCCTGTCTCCTCTCTCCACTATGCAAGCTCCTATTCTTTTCCGGGAATCATTCCCAGAGCCCCAAGCTAGGTTATTATTCCCTCTTCTCTTCTCCCACTGAATCTTCTGCATTCACCAACACAATATCTGCCATATTATATAAAAATGTTCTTATTTCTCTGTGTCTCCCCATTACACTGAAGCCCCTTGAGGAAACCAGTACTGTAAACATAGCCAGCTCCTTCTTCCCATTCAGAGATGAGACTTGGTGTAACCTCTCAGAAAGGCCATCTCTGATCACCTGACACCCACACTTGATTCACCCTTCTTTTTTTCCTTCATAGCACATACCACTTCATGGTATTTTCTTGTTTAAGTGTTTGTTTATTATTTGTCTCTCCACTAGAATGTGAATCTTTTAAGAGCATAGACCTTTTCTGCCTTATTTATCCCTATGTCACTACTACCTAGAAAAGTGCCAAATATGTAGAAGGGCTTCAATAAACACGTATTTTCAAAACTGAATTAAATGAACGGATGGAGTGATGGGTGGATGAGCATATACTTAGAGGTCAATAAATTAATAAGAACAGAATTTGCCTATCCGTATTAGATAAGCAGAGTATAAGCCAATGATGGTATCAGGTTAATTTTAACACCTTAGGAGACAGACACACTATAAACTGTAGGTATTTAATTCTGTGACTGAATGCCTGTATTAGTTCATTCACACATTGTTATAAAGAACTACCTGAGACTGGGTAATTTATGAAGAAAATAGTTTAATTGACTCACCATTCCACAAGCTGTATAGGAAGCATGGCTGGGAGGCTTCAGGAAACTTACAATCATGGGGGAAGGGCAAAGGGGAAGCAAGCATGTCTTCCTATGGCAGCAGGAGTGAGTGTGAAGAGAGACGTGCCACACACTTTTAAACCACCAGATCTCATGAGAACTCACCATTATGAGAATAGCAAAGAGGAAGCCCGTCCCCATGATCCAGTCACCTCCCATCAGGTCCCTCCCCCAAGACTAGGGATTACAATTCAACATGAGATTTAGGTGGGGACACAGAGGCATACCATATCAGTGCCATACATTATGTACTGTTGCAGTGGATCCCAACTTGTGAAAACTCCATTACATCCTCAGTGTTACTAGTGATATCTTGTATGTTCATTCCATGTTAATGTTCCTGTTGCCTCCCCTAGGATGCATAAGTATGTATGCTTCACATAATATAGCAGAAGGAAAAGATCCGAGTCAAATTTTGAAGAATTACTGAACTCTCCACATTAAATTACACAGTCATCTTTTACAAGCTTAACTTCCATCCTCACAATTTTTCTAATTCATGAAATAGTCCTGAAAACATTTTTTTCTTGAAGTATTATTTCAAAGATTATATGAGAAAACACATGTGGGTACACTTTTCAAACTTCAGAGTTCTCATCTGACATTGATTACTTCATCAATTATCATTTCATATATCTTCTATCATTTGTTGATAGTAAAAGCAATGTATATTTTCATATTATCTTTCTTTTTAAGCATCCTGTTATTAATTGCTTAAGGTCACTTAATCTTAGGTGTATATTCATTTGCATTCTGAATTGTAATTCCTTCACTGGTTTTTATAACTGTTGAATTTAATAGGATATGGGGGAAGTGGATAGCACAGGCAAAAGGAAATTGGATTTTGAACTTTTTATTGTGATGACATCCATTTGATTGTGGTCCACATGATTAGTGAAGAAAATCTGCTGTTGTGACAACTTCGCAGAGTGAAATAAATCTAAGGCTTGGATTTGCTTATTACTTTACTGTTTAGAAGCAAAAAAAGCCCCCAATAACAACGTTCAGTGCATATTTATTGGGCTTTTCCTGTGTACAAGCCACCATGAGCATCTAAGGATATAACAGTGAGAAATACCTAGCTCCTACTCGAAAGGGGCTAAAAAGCCAGGATTACTTCAGTTGAGGTCCTCTAAAAAGAAGTATGAAAATAACCTTACAGAACCAAGCTCATTATTTTTTCAGCAATTTATAGCTCCAAAAGCAAAGCTTTCATTATCTTGTCTTCTTCACAACTGATAAGTTAAGTGTCATCATAACCCCGATTTTAAAAAGTAGGAAAATGCAGAATCACTAACTCAAGGCAGTACCTTGACAACTCACAGACTCACACTTCATTCAAGAATCCCCATCACAGTCATGCTTCCTTTGGTGGCCTTTTTTGACTATATGTAAGTGACAGAGTGTGGTATGCAACTGTTGGAAATTGGTTTTTGGGGGGTATTTTTGTTTGTTTTTGTTTGTTTAAAGCAACAATATAGAATCGAGGACTGGTGATACTTGTAAATTTGACATCATGGCAATGAAATAGCTCATGCAAAAATACTTTGTATAAGATATAACCCTATAATATATCATGTCAATATATATTATTTGAATTGTGGAGGGTTTTTTGTTTTGCTTTTTTGTTTTGTTTTGTTTTTTGAGATGAAGTCTCACTCTGTTACCCAGACTGGAGTGCAGTGGTGTGATCTCAGCTCACTGCAACCTCCGCCTCCTGGCTTCAAGTGATTCTCCTGCCTCAGCCTCCTGAGTAGCTGGGACTACAGGCACATGCTGCCATGCCCAGGTAATTTTTGTATTTTCAGTAGAGACAGGGTTTCACCATGTTGGTCAGTCTGGTCTCAAACTCCTGACCTCAGGTGATCCACCTGCCTCGGTCTCCCAAAGTGCTGGGATTACAGACATGAGCCACTGCGCCCAGCTTGAATTATGTTTTTTGAAAGAATTAATATGCAGGACTAAAGAGCATAGCAAAGATTTGGAACCTTATGGCAGAGTGAGTTGCACATATATATTTTCAAAATCGCTCATTGGTATTTGGCTTATCTGATAAATACAACAGTTCAAAGTCAATGAGTTTCCTGATATGTTAGCTACTAAAGGGAGGTTGATAGATTAAACAATGAAGTAGAATTATAGGATATTGTGATTTGAGATCTACTCTCTGCTTTAAAATAGTTACAAATTCTGTGAAGATATCTAATTCAGCATAAGGTCTTTAGAGGTATACAACTAAATGGCACAGAGTTATTTTTAAGTCTGCCATACAGCTCATTAATCAATTCTGGCTCTCTAGCTCTGCTAGTCTACTTACTGGCCTACAATAAATGGCCTGCAATAAAAGATCTCCCTGCCTGTTTCATTTTTCCATCCAAACATTGTACAAACTAAGGACAAGATGCTTGAGACCCCTTTGATGACAATATTATTAAAAAGCTAGGCTCCTGCCATTACTAAAGTCACAGTGTCATCATGAAAGTTTCTTAGTACGTTTATGAAGTCTGTAAAGATCTTGAAGTTTAAAATGGAAAGCAAAATAAGGGTCCAAAGAATTAATATCTGAACTTTTAACGTTAAGTTTTTGGGAATGTGAAAATCAGATTATCATCTGCAGCTCGTAAGACTTCAATTCTACTAATGAATGGCTTCTTAATTTAATGATTCTAAAGTGATATAGTATACTTTCATAAAGTGCTAAGCAGTCCTAATTACATGTTAAAAAAAGATCTTATTATCTAAATTTATCATACCAAGTAATTTTTTGTCAATGGCAAAGATGCAATTTTTACTGTATTAATGTTGTCTTTACTAATACAGTCTGATTAAGATGATTACTTATCCATATATTTTTATCTTCTTTATAAAAAAATTTAAAAATTTGAAAGCCATCAGAGCTACTTACCATGTTTATGACAATTAAAAATATGGTTAACAGTGAGAAATATCTTACTAAGTTTCAAAAATATTATAATTTGGCTCCTAATATTTTTTCTTATTTTCAACCTCAATCTAAGTGTAAACATTTAATTACTGACAAATGTTGGATTTTGACAGTAATTAAAATCTAAAATGTACTTGGTCATAATCACCAATCAAGTTGACTTTCATATACTGATATTTAGTAGTAGCAATGAACTTCTTTCTTATTTTCATAAATTCTGATAAATTATTGTAGTATATTTTTATAATACAATTATCGTATATATTATACAAATCTAAATTGGCAAAATATTCAGTATAGTATATGAAATGTTAATGAAATTAAGAACATCTTTTCCTTATATCATATCCCTACTTATTCTGAATTTTCAAAACTGAATTTAAAAGAAATGTACCTTCTGCTGAAATTTTATAACGCAATTAAGAATTTATATATAATTTTATATATAATACAAATATATATGTAATTTTTTAAGGATGGATTTATCTCCATTTCTAATTTGAAAAACTAAATACATTTGGTATCTGAGAACATATCATTTGAGCATAATGTGTTTTAATCTTAGTATTTTAAAATTTCATTGGAAAATTTTCTTAAGTTTCTCAGTTGCAAATGTGAAGATATACATGCAGAATCCCAATATGTAGAATTGTGAATTTGAAACTAAAGTGCTAATAAGTATTTTAATATCTTGATTTACTGAGTTGTACACATTGTCATGTATAATGTTGTCAGAGAGTTTACCTGCTCTCTTTATAAAAATAATTTGTCTACATATATTTTATAATTTATAATATATCATGGGGTATTATAATAATATTTTTAAATGTTAACAGATTTACCCATTTCCCTTTTGTTGTGGAAGCATAACTGATGGTGGGTATAAAAATTTAAGTTATAAAG
Organism: Homo sapiens; assembly: GCF_000001405.40. Classification (NCBI taxonomy): domain Eukaryota; kingdom Metazoa; phylum Chordata; class Mammalia; order Primates; family Hominidae; genus Homo; species Homo sapiens. The sequence goes on along the minus strand of NC_000005.10, from coordinate 84,107,302 downwards.
TTTATAGTAGTGAGAAATGCTAAATTAGTACAAAAATAACTTTGAAAAAAAGCTCAGCTTTATGATAATAAAGAAATAATGGATGGAAAAATATTTGTTGAGAGCTTATAATTTGTGAGGCATGCTAATCTCCGGGAATATAAAATATGAGATAAGCCTTTTAAGAGCATTATGCTTTTGTTGACGTGATCAACAACCAGAAGCTATCAGTACAGAACCAGAATCATAATGCAGAAGGGAAGTGTCTATTAAGTGACTACTTTCAAAGCAAAGAAGGAAGAGAGGGTCATGAGAAGCAAGAATTATTTCCTTAATTTAGAGATCGATAACAGATCTGTAAAGGGGATGAAGAGTAAATAGCATGGTGGTGCAAATTCAAATCATTTAAAAAAATCCTATCAAATCGAACAGACACATGTTGTATATGCATTGTTTCTAATACATTCATATTTTTTCCTGTTTTTGTTTCCAGAATGCTCAGGCCCACTGGGAATTGAAGGTGGAATTATATCAAACCAGCAAATCACAGCTTCCTCTACTCACCGAGCTCTTTTTGGACTCCAAAAATGGTATCCCTACTATGCACGTCTTAATAAGAAGGGGCTTATAAATGCGTGGACAGCTGCAGAAAATGACAGATGGCCGTGGATTCAGGTAACAGATGGGATGGGACAAGGTTAATGTTATAAGTCATTTTTAAATGATTCTGGTCATTTTAAAAAGCAGACAAAAGGGAACTCAGTGTGACTCTTCCTTATGGTCAGAGGAAAGGGTAATTTAGTGAAGAGTTCAAATTAGCTCCCAATTCTGAGAAGTAAAAAACATGCACATTCCATTAAGAAGTTAGTTAAAGAGATCAAAAACGTTAAAAATATTCAGGTATAAATATCACTGTTTTAAGGTGCATATCAAAGCAGGAGACTTTCTGTATACTGTGTGTTCATTACCACTGTGATAACGTTTAGCAGCAACTTATGATACTTTAAGAACATAAAAATTATATCAATGTTTTCTATCTCTAAGAAGTGGGTCCACAAATGCAAGTATAAAATATACCATGCATCATAATAACAATACCTCAAATGCACCTTCTTTCAAGCTGAGGGTGTTTCATTTCATAGTGTTATTCACTCTCATCAACCAGCTATTTTTTAAAACAGGAGAAAACAACAATATACTGAAATATTAAGTGATTTCCCAGAGGGGGTAGCAAGGCCCAGAGCTTATATTTCTGTACATTTCAATGCTTTTTGAGCATTTAGATGAACTATGTACTAGGAGTACAGAAAGATGATCAAAACTGATGTCTGTGAAAGAGTAAACCTCTGTTGGGGAAAGCACATTAATAACCATCTAACAAGTCATTGATGTGTACTAAAGGGAGGAAGAATTCAGTATTCTGTGGTCAGAGGAAGAATTCATTAATTATCTTGAGAAACTCACCTGGGGCAGATAGCTTTTGAGCTAGGCCTGAGAAGGATGGCTTTCAGTAGAGACTGAACATCCAGGGAACAGCCTGATTAAAGATGCTACATGACAATCTGGGGAATATTGTAGAAAATCATGACTAGAGTAAAGGTTGCTGGAGGGATGTGTTCAAATTCATTGTACGAGTTTGCTGTGCTTCGGGAGTCATACTAAAAGGTATTAGCCTTATTTCAGTAGAGTAGGGAGATATTGCAGAGTTTTGATTAGTTTAGGTGATTGATCTGTTCTATCTGTTTACTACGTATTCTAAGTCAAAGAAACATGGAAATCCCTGATGTGACATAATTAGGTGTACTATACAAGAACTAGTTTACAGGCATTTGGTATAAACGAAAATTGATTTATGGCTAAGAGGCAAGACTTCCATACTTGAAAAACTGGGCCAAAATCTCCTTCAGATACTTTCTTTGTTCAGATTTCTTAGGCATTCTTATATGTCTCATAAACATTTCTTTTATCTATAGAGCTCTAATAAGGTTGCCTGAAGTTCTTGTTTTGTATTATGAATTTATATTTACATGAAGTTGTTAAAATTGCTTCTTAAGTTACACTTGACTTTTTCAATCTATAGCAACATGTGCAAAATGAACTCCAGATAGTGGAAATGGCACATCTATACAGTTTTATCACACTTGTGAAGGATCGATTAAGGTTTAAAATATGCACAGAATAATAGAAAATAATTATATCATATTTACTAATGAATAATCATTCCAGAGACATTTTTAATCACTCTAGTTGAAATGCATTTGTAGGACTGTGGTCATGATAAAACTTTAGACATTAATATTCATAGCCAAAATTCAGAACAGTTGAGAGATGATATCACCAGTTTACATCAGGGTTTCTGTTTGGCAAATTATGTTCGTGAGCTTCAATGATTGCCATCTTTCTATAAACCATAAGTAGCATGCTTTTCCAGTGTTTACTCTGAGAAACACCTTATTAATGTTTCATATCCGATTGTTCACTTTACTTTGTCCCAGTATTGCCTACTTAACACTATGCATCATTCTTCCTTTCAAAGTATTGTGTGAAGTTTTAATTCCCTTTATCCCAGTGGCTGTAGGCAGAAATAACCTTAATCGAACAGGACAGTGATCAACACTGAGAAAAATTTAGATTTATTCTCTTAAGAACAATAGTTAAAACTTATTTTACTTTTAAGGTCAGTGGGATGATGATAATTTGCTTTTGGTCTGAAGATGATAATGAACTCAGAGAAAAACAGCTAAAGTAAACATGAAAGGTTTTATATTAGAGTGAGAACCTCAAATATAATGGGTGAAAAACTAAAAATTATTGTTATTCAATAAATTTTTAGGAATTATATTCAATGTATTCATTTTATAATTGTGTTCTTTAATAATATATTTTTAATGTTATTTTTTACAAAACTTTACCAATTTTCTTTTTTTTTTTGAAACTTTTATTTTAGGTTCAGGGGTACATGTGCAGGTTTGTTATATAGGTATACTTCATGTCATGGGGTTTTTGTTGTACAGATTATTTTGTTACTCTGGTATTAAGCCTAGTATCCATTAGTTATATTTCCTAGTCCTTTCCCTCCTCCCATCCTTCACCCTCAGGTAAGTCCCACTATCTGTTATTTCATTCTATGTGTCCGTGTGTTCCCATCATTTAGCACCCACTGTAAGTGGTGCTAAGGGAAAACATGTAGTATTTGGTTTCCTGTTCCCACATTAGTTTGCTAAGGATAATTAGTTTGCTCCAGCTTCATTCATGTTCCTGCAAAAGACATGATCTGACTCTTTTGCAGCTGCATAGTATTCCATGGTGTCTATGTATCAGATTTTCTTTACCCAGTCTACAATTGATTGGCATTTCGGTTGATTCCATGTCTTTGTTATTGTGAATGGTGCTACAGTGAACATAGGCGTGCATGTGCCTTTATCATAGAACAATTTATATTCCTTTGGGTATATACCCAGTTATGCTGTGGCTGGGCTGAATGTTAGTTCTGTTTTTAGTTCTTTGCGGAATCTTCACACTGCTTTCCACAATCGTTGAAATAATTTACACTCCCACCAACAGTGTATAACCATTCCCTTTTCTCCTCAACCTTGCCAGCATCTATTATTATTTTACTTTTTAGTAATAGCCATTCTGACTGTTGTAAGATGGTATCTAATTGTGGTTTCATTTGCATTTCTCTAATGATAACTGATTTTGAGGGTTTTTTTCCTATGATTGTTGGCTGCATGTATGTCTTCTTTTGAAAATTGTCTGTTTATGTCCTTTGCCCACTTTTTAATGAAGTTGTTTGTTTTTTTTCTTGAAAATTTAAGTTTCTTATAGATGCTGAATATTAGACCTTTATCAGATGCATAGTTTGAAAAAGTTTTCTTCCATTCGGTAGGTTGTCTGTTCACTGTGTTGATAGTTCCTTTTTCTGTGCAGAAGCTCTTTAGTTTAATTAGATCCCATTTGTCATTTTTTGCTTTTGTTGCAATTGTTTTCCGTCTCTTTGTCATGAAATATTTGCCATTTCCTCTGTCCAGAATGGTATTGCCTAGGTTGTCTTTCAGGGATTTTATAGCTTTGGATTTTACATTTAAGTCTTTAATCCATCTTGAGTTGATTTGTGTATATAGTGTAAGGAAAGGGTCCAGTTTCAATCTTCTGCCTATGGCTAACCACTATCCCAGCATCATTTATTGATTAGGGAGTTCTTTCCCCATAGCTTGTTTTTGTCAGCTTTGTGGAGGATCAGATGGTTGTAGGTGTGCAACCTTATTTCTGGTCTCTCAATTCTGTTCCATTGGAATATATGTCTGTTTTTGTATCAGTATCAAAACAGTACTTTTGGTTACTGTAGCCCTATAGTATAGTTTGAAGTCAGGTAATGTGATACTTCTAGCTTTTGGGGGGTTTTATTTTTGTTGTTGTCTTCAGGATTGTCTTGGCTATTTTAAGATAGTATTTTCTAATTCTGTGAATAATGTCATTGGGAGTTTGATAGGATTAGCATTGAAATCTATAAATTGCTTTGGGCAGTATGGCCATTGTAATGATTTTGATTCTTCGTATCCACAAGCATGGAATGGTTTTTCCATTTGTTTGTGTTATCTCTGATTTCTTGGACCAGTGTTTTCTAGTTCCCATTGTAGAGATTGTTTATTTCCCTGATAAGCTGTATTCCTAGGAGGGTTTTTTCGTTTTTTTTTTGTTTTGTTTTGTTTTGTTTTAGCAATTGTAGGTGGGATGGCATTTCTGATTTGGCACTTGGCTTGACTGTGGTTGCTATATAGGAATGCCAGTAATTTTTGTATGTTGATTTTTTACCTTGAGACTTTGCTGAAGGTGTTTATCAGCTTAAGGATCATTCGGGCCTAGACTGTGGGGTTTCCTAGATCCTTCGGGCCTAGACTGTGGGGTTTTCTAGATATGGAATCATGTCCTCTGCAAACAGGGATACTTTGGCTTCCTCTCTGCCCGTTTTGGATGGCTTTTACTTTTTTCTCTTGCCTGATTGCCCTGGCCAGGACTTCCAATACTATGTTGAATAGGAGTGATGAGAAAGGGCATCCTTGTCTCATTTCTGTTTTCAAGAGGAATGCTTCCATCTTTTGCTCATTTAGTATGATGTTGGCTGTGGGTTTATCATAGGTGATTCATAATTTTGAGGTATGTTCTTTCAGTACCAAGTTTATTGAGAGTTTTTAATATGAGAGGTGTTAAATTTTATTGGAAGGCTTTTCTGAATCTATTGAGATGATCATGTGGTTTTTGTCTTTAGTTATGTTTATGTGATTATTCACTCTTATTGATTTACATATGTTGAACCTACCTTGCATCCTGGGGATAAAGCCTGCTTGATCATGGTGGATAAGCTTTTAGTTGTGCTATTGGATTCAATTTGCTTGTATTTTGTTGAGGATTTTTGAATTGATATTCATCAAAATATTGTCCTGAAGTTTTCTGTTTTTGTTTTGTCTCTGCCTGGTTTTGGTATCAGGATGATGTTAGCCTTGTAGAATGAGTTAGGAAGGAGTCCCTCTTCCTCGATTGTTTGGAGTAGTGTTAGTAGAAATGCTACCAGCTCTTCTTTGTATATCTGGTAGAATTCAGCTGTGAATCCATGTGGGCCTGGGCTCTTTTTGGTTGGTAGGCTATCTATTACTGATTCAATTTCAGAGATTCTTATTTGTCTACTCATTTGAATTTCATCCTGACTCAGTTTTGGGAGGGCGTATATTTCCAGGGATTTATCCATTTCTTCTAGACTTTCCAGTTTGTGTGCACAGAGGTGTTCACAGCAGTTGCTGATGGTTATTAGTAGTATCTCTTTTGTCATTTCTAATTGTGTTTATTTGGATCTTCTCCCTTTTCTCCTTTATTAATCTAGCTAGCAGTCTATCTATTTTATTAGTTTTTTCAGTAACAACCTCTTGAATTTTTTAATCTTCTTTGGGTGATTTTTAAATTTAATTCTCAGAATAATTCCATATAGTAGGTGTAATTATCATCACTTTATAAATTTAGACAGCTTGAATCAAACAGGTTAATTATCTTATCCAAGTTGTCAGAACTTTAAAGATTACAAAAAATATATAATTAGCCTAATTCACAGCTCTTACAATTTCTTTATGACCAGTATTTTTAAGCTCTCAAATACAAAAATATAGTATGTTTATTGCAACACAGGTCGGACTAGTAACTGTCATTAAATTACCATTGGAGGATATGTAGTGTTGTCCAATCAGCAATGTACTGAACTCAGATTGAATATTAATAATTCTAAAAGGATTACACAAATTAAAAATAAAACTATTGGTGTTGTAGGTTTGTTTTCAATTCAAGCTAAAAGTGAGATGACTTGGTTTCCACTAATTTTTTTTGGCGAAAGAAAAAGGGCCTTAAGTTCTCATGTTCTATAATTTTCTAATAGTAATAATATATTTAACAATTTAAATGGAATAGCATAACAGGACTATTTCCAAACTATCAGAGTAAATTGAGCTGAATTTTTCAGACTGAAATCAAAATTGGTGTATTTATTGAAAAACAAACACAATTTCTCAAAGAAATATAGGTATCGCTAAGAAATATTATCAGATGTTTTTTAATTTATTATACTTTAAGTTCTGGGATACATGTGCAAAACATGCAGGTTTATTACATATGTATACACATGCCATGGTGGTTTGCTACACCCATCAATCCATCATCTGCATTAGGTATTTCTCCTAATGCGATCCCTCCCCTAGCTGCCCCACTCAACAGTCCCCAGTGTGTGATGTTCCCCTGTCTGTTTCCATGTGGTCTCATTGTTCAGCTCCCACTTATGACTGAGAACATGTGGTGTTTGGTTTTCTTTTCCTGTGTTAGTTTGCTAAGAGTGATGGTTTCCAGCTTCATCCATGTCCCTGCCAAGGATGTGAACTCATCCTTCTTTGTGGCTGCATAGTATTCCATGGTGTATACGTGCCTCATTCTTTATCCAGTCTATCATTGATGGGCATTTGGGTTGGTTCCAAATCTTTGCTATTGTGAATAATGCTGCAATAAACACACATGTGCATGTGTCTTTATAGCAGCATGATTTCTAATCTTTTGGGTATATATCCAGTAATGGGATTGCTGGGTCAAATGGTATTTCTGGTTCTAGATCCTTAAGGAATCACCACACTGTCTTCCACAATGGTTGAACTAATTTACACTCCCACCAACAGCATAAAATTGTTCCTATTTCTCCACATCCACTCCAGCATCTGTTGTTTCCTGACTTTTTAATGATCGCCATTCTAACTGGTGTGAGATGGTATCATTGTGGTTTCGATTTCTACTTTTCTAATGACTAGTGATGATGAGCTTTTTTTTTCATATGATTTTTGGCTGCACAAATGTCTTCTTCTGAGAAGTGTCTGTTCATATCCCTTTGACCACTTTTTGATGGGTTTTTTTTTCTTGTAAATTTGTTTAAGTTCTTTGTAGATTCTGGATATTAGCCCTTTGTGAGATGGATAGATTGCAAAAATGTTCTCCCATTCTGTAGGTTTCCTGTTCACTCTGATAATAGTTTCTTTTGCTGTGCAGAAGCTCTTTAGTTTAATTAGATCCCATTTGTCAATTTTGGCTTTTGTTGTCATTGCTTTTTGTTGTTTTAGTCATGAAGTCTTTGCCCATGCCTATGTCCTGAATGGTATTGCCTAGGTTTTCTTCTAGGATTTTTATGGTTTTAAGGTCTTATGTTTAAGTCTTTAATCCATCTTGAGTTAATTTTTTTATAAGGTGTAAGGAAGGGGTCCAGTTTCAGTTTTCTGCATATGGCTAGCCCGTTTTCCCAACACCATTTATTAAATAGGGAATCCTTTCCCCATTGCTTGTTTTGGTCAGGTTTGTCAAAGATCAGATGGTTGTAGATGTGTGGCATTATTTCTGAGGCCTCTGTTCTGTTCCATTGGTCTATATATCTGTTTTGGTTACTGTAGCCTTGTAGTATAGTTTGAAGTCAGGTAGAGTGATGCCTCCAGTTTTGTTCTTTCTGCTTAGGATTGTCTTGACTATACAGGCTTTTTTTGGTTCTGTATGAAATTTAAAGTTGTTTATTCTAATTCTGTGAAGAAAGTCAGTGGTAGCTTGATGGGGATAGCATTGAATCTATGAATTACTTTGGACAGTATGGCCATTTTTACAATATTGATTCTTCCTATCCATGTGCATGGAATGTTTTTCCATTTGTTTGTGTCCTCTGTTATTTCCTTGAGGAGTGGTTTGTAGTTCTTCTTGAAAGGGTCCTTCACATCCCTTGTAAGTTATATCCCTAGGTATTTCCTATACACCAATAATAGACAAACAGAGAGCCAAATCATGAGTGAACTCCCATTCACAATTGTTGATCTTTTGAATGGCTTTTCATGTCTCAGACTTCAGTTCAGCTCTGAGTTTGTTACTTTTTGTCTTCTGATAGCTTTGGGAATGGTTTGCTCTTGGTTCCCTAGTTCTTTTAGTTGTGATGTTAGATTATTAAATGGAGATCTTTCTAACTTTTTGATGTGGGCATTTAGTGCTATAAATTTCCCTCTTAACACTGCATTAGCTGTGTCCAAGAGATTCTGAAGTGTTGTAGTTTTGTTCTCATTAGTTTCAAATAACTTCTTGATTTCTGCCTTACTTATTTACCCAAAAGTCATTCAGGAGTAGGTTATTTAATTTCCATGTGATCATATGGTTTTGAGTAATTTTCTTAGTCTCAACATTGTTATTCAGTAATTACTTACTGATTATGTTCAAATATATATATTTTGTTAATGCATTCTTTAATAACATATTTTCTAAGTTATTTTTTAGAAGAAAAAACTTTATCAATTTTGTAAGATTAAATCACCTATAAGACATTCTGTGAAATCAAATGATATACCAGAGTTTCTGTGTTGATCATTCATTGTTAATTTCCCTTGTCACCTAAGTCTATTATTTATATTCAGTCCTTCAAATGAAACCTTTGAGTACTTCGCTTAAACTCACTTATAATGAGCACAGTAACCCCCTAATCTTTCAGGTGTATGACAAACATGCACTAATTAGTATTCAATTTCATTTTCTTCATTGTCTTGATGAAACGAAAATTGAAATTGCCATTTTACATTTATATGTTCAGCATGCAATTATTAATAGTACCACAATGCTCATAACTGGTTCTGGATTTAAAGAGTTGGTAAATGCAGTTAAACAAGTTTTTTTTTTTTTTCAGATTTCTAGTTTTTTGGAGCTTTATTTCTTTATGTAGATTTTTTCCAACTAATAATTAACCACTACATTAAACATTAGCTCATCAGCATCCTAGAATATCAGTTTTTCTTTCTGATTAACATGTTAGAATTAGCAACTTTGCACAATTATAGAAATATGTCTTGGATTATAACAAGTGTATTTTAAATTCTGGGTGCTTTGCTAACTAACTGAGGGTCAGCCAGTATAACTATTTCTTATTTATTTTCAAGATATGCAGTGTCAATTTCTCTGTGTTTTTCTTTTCTTTTATAGCTATTTGTAGTAAAATATTAATTTTATTTTTTAAATTTATGGGTTGATTTTTATTTATATATATGTGTTTATGTGTGTTTTTCTAGAATACATATACATTGAATTTCCAGCTATTAATTTATTCATGTATTCCACAAACATTTACTCATGAATGTGTACTCTACACTCTATCCACTACTAGGCAGTAGAGAAAAGATAACACCTACTTTCAGGATGCTCTGAATCCAGAAAAGATAAAAGTAAGCTGGGTAAACATAACACAAAACATATGTGGCCTGGCCTTACATGGTTTGCTAACTACTCCATTTGAATTATATTATATCCAAACAGCCTATTTTTATTAGGACTTTTATTAAAGTAAAAACTACATTAACATAATATTTACATAATACAAGGAAAGAAATTTCCATTATACTATGTATTACCGTTGTGTGCTGATATATTTGATGTGTATGATATAGTATAATACTAGGGCAATGTCACAATTTTTCTTTCGAAAGTTAATTCACCAGTTGTTTTTTCAGTTCTAGTATTTTATCACTGAGAAAATTGGGTTTGGAACTCTCTTACCTTTTTAGAAATGTGGCTATGATCTTAATATGTTCCCTTTTTATGTGCCATAGAATTTGTGAGAGGAAAAACAGTTATTTCTCAAACTTCAATGTGCATTGAAACCATGGGTCACTTGGTGTATTAGTCTGTTTTTATGCTGCTGATAAAGACATACCCGAGGCTGGGCAATTTACAAAAGAAAGAGGTTTAATGGACTTACAGTTCCACATGGCTGGGGAGGCCTCACAATAATGGTGGAAGGCAAGGAGGAGCAAGTGACATTTACGTGGATGGTGGCAGGCAAAAAGAGAGAGAGCTTGTGCAGGGAAACTCCCGTTTTTAAAACTATCAGATCTTGTAACTTATTCACTATCATGAGAATAGCATGGGAAAGACCCGCTCCCATGATTCACTTATCTTTCACTGGGTCCCTCCCACACATGTGGAAATTATGGGAACTACAAGATGAGATTTGGATGGGGGCACAGAGCCAGACCTTGTCATTCTGCCTGTGTACTGTCCAAAATCTCATGTCTTCACATTTCAAAACCAATCATGCCTTCCCAACAGTCCCCCAGAGTCTTAACTCATTTCAGCATTAACTCAAAAGTCTGCAGTCCAAAGTCTCATCTGAAAAAAACCAAGTCCCTTCAGCCTATGAGCCTATAAAATCAAAAGCAACTTAGTTACTTCCTAGATACAGTGGTGATACAGGCATTAGTTAAATACGGCCATTCCAAATGGGAGAAATCGGCCAAAACAAAGGGGCTACTGGCCCCAGGCAAGTCCAAAATCCATTGGGGTAGTCAAATCTTAAAGCTCCAAAATGGTCTCCTTTGACTGCATGTCTCACATCCATGTCAAGCTGATGCAAGAGGTGGGTTCCCATGGTCTTGGGCATCTTCTCCTCTGTGGCTTTGCAGGGTACAGCCTCCCTCCTGGCTGCTTTCACAGGTTGCCTTTGAGCATCTGTGGCTTTTCCAGACACACGGTGCAAGCTGTTGGGGGATCTACCATTTTGGGGTCTCTAGGATGGTGGCCCTCTTCTCACAGCTCCACTAGGTGGTGCCCCAGTGGGGACTCTGTGTGGGGGCTCTTACCCCCCGTTTCCCTTCTGCACTGCCCTAGCAGAGGTTTTCCATGAGGGCCTCACCCCTGCAGCAAACTTCTGCCTGGGCATCCAGGCATTTCCATACATCTTCTGAAATCTAGGCAGTGTTTCCCAAACCCCAATTATTGACTTCATAAAAAAATCCGTATGTGAAATTTGTACTACAGAAATTTGTAACGATTTATTACCAAGTCCCTAGGCTGCACACAGCACCGGGGACCCTGGGCCCAGCCCACAAAACCACTGTTTCCTCCTAGGCCTTCAGGCCTATGATGGGAGGGGCTGCCATGAAGACCTCTAACATGCTGTGGAGACAATTCCCCCATTGTCTTGGGGATTAACATTCAGCTCCTCATTACTTATGCAAATTTCTGCAGCTGGCTTGAATTTCTCCTCAGAAAATGGGATTTTTCTTTTCTATTGCATTGTCAGGCTGCAAATTTTCCAAACTTTTATGCTTTGCTTCCCTTATAAAGCTGAATGCCTTTAACAGCACCCAATACAGCTCTTGAATGCTTTGCTGCTTAGAAATTTCTTCTGCCAGATACCCTAAATCATCTCTCTCAAGTTCAAAGTTCCACAAATTTCTAGAGCAGGAGCAAAATGCTGCCACTCACTTTAATAAAGCATAACAAGAGTCACCTTTGCTCCAGTTCCCAGCAAGTTCCTCATCTCCATCTGAGACCACCTCAGCCTGGATTTCATTGTCCATGTCATTATCAGCATTTTGGTCAAAGCCATTCAACCATTCTCTAGGGAGTTCCAAACTTACCTATGTTTTTCTGTCTTTTTCTGAGCCCTCCAAACTGTTCCAACCTCTGCCTGTTACCCCATTCCAAAGTTGCTTCCACATTTTCAGGTATTTTTTCAGCAGTGCCCCACTCTACTGGTACCAATTTACACTTGGTAAAAATAGAAACTTCTAAATTGCTCCACAGGCCTAGTGCAGGTCATGCTCAGACTTCACAGTAAAAATATGTCTCGTCTCCTTATAAATCTTAGGTTTGTACTGCCCTGAGTTACAGTAAAAATATAAATAAATAAAATAAAAAACACTTTTGCTTGATGATGTGGGAACCTTGTTGTTGGAACTGCAAGTAGTGATGACCACCTAGGCTGGAGGGAGAGGAAAGAACAGTGAAGAAAATGAGGAAAGATAATGGGAAATAAGTAACCCATGAAAATTCTCTGAACTTCAGGCAGACAGCCTTGGCAGCAACTCACAAGTAAGCATTATCCATCAGTCATGAAACAGTTAATGTTTCTAAATGGCTATTTGATTTTTCTTTGTTATAAAACTTAATATATTTAAATGCAAAACCATATACCTTCTGCATTTTTAAGAAAATTATAGTTAATGTAGAATATATCGGCCCAAAAGGGAATTAAGTGAGCATAAATTGTTATAAATTTCTGTAGTACAAATTTCACACATGGATTTTTTTAACAACTTTGTTAACAGTGGGATTGAGAATGCTACAAAAAAAGAACTAATCATCTATTTCATTTCATATGTCTGTATGTAATGTGTATAAAAACGTTTTTGATATTTATAGACACCTGGAGCTTTTTCAGATACAAAAATCATTTTCAAAAGACCAGGATTTAAGAAGTAGATTTTTTTTTTCATTTTCAGCCTTTTTTCTAGTTACAGAAGCTGAATTACATACAATCTAATTCGTTTTTAATACTGCCTTATTCAAGTGGAAAATATTTTAGCCTTTTCTGTTGAAGAAAAATACTACATGCCAATATATACTAAACTATATTCCCATTCTTACCATACACCTCTTTAAAGCTAATTATATCTGGACATTAATATATTTCTTTTTCTAATGATATTTTTTAAACTATGATCCCAGGTGGAAAATTATGATTTCTATTTGAATTGTTTATTAGAAATGAGTTTTTCATACATAGTTGTGTGTTTTTAAACAGATGTTTCTTTTTAAATTAAAAAAGCACTATGCATTAAGTAAAGATGTCTTAATGCTTCTGTCCTGAAAAGTATGTTTTGTCTGAAATTATTTGGTCATTTACCACAGTTATAGTAGTGGTAGTGCATATTGTATTGCTTGCCTTTTTTCTCTAAAAAGCTGTGTTTTAGATCTTAACTCTAGATTCTTTGGAATACATGATGAACCATATAGCAGTTGCTCTGTATTTTTAAAAAGCTGCATCTGGGACTGGGCATGGTGGCCCAAACCTGTAATCCCAGCAATTTGGGAGGCTGAGGCAGGTGGATCATGATGTTGGGAGCTCAAGTCCAGCCTGGCCAATATGGTGAAACCCCGTCTCTACTAAAAATACAGAAATTAGCCGGTTGTGGTGGCAGACACCTCTAGTCCCAGCTACTTGGGAGGCTGAGGCAGGAGAATCACTTGAATCTGGGGTACAGAAGTTGCAGTGAGCTGAGACTGTGCCACTGCACTCCAGCCTGGGCCACAGAGCGAGACCCCGTCTGAAAAAAAAAAAAAAAAAAAGGCTGCATCTGAAATCTCTTCTGCTTCCTCTCCCACTTTGAGTACCCAGTGCCTCACTAAACTGAATTTCTTGCTGTTCTTCAAATTAATCCAGCTTATTCTGCCTCTGCGCTTCAATACATGCACTGCATGGTTCATCTATTGACCAGCTTCCAGTCTTCTTTAGATTCAGCCCCATCATTCCCTTCTCTGTGAAGTAATCCCTGAAAGCCCTGCCTTTTATCTTCAAAGGTAGAAGTGACTACAATCCTTTTATCCCACTCGGTCAACTATATATCAAAATCATAGTAACTAAAATACCTTTATAGTCATTGTTTGCTTTTCCTTCTCCTCCTATACCATAAACAACTTGAGAGTAGGAATCAGAGTTAGTTTAAGTCTATTCCCATGGCACCTTTAAATAAAACTATGTTAAATAGATGTCAGTAATTGACTAATAGAAGAATAGGGAATACTGAACAAAAAAAAAAAAGGAGAAAGATAGTATTTGTTTTCACATGGCAATTATTCTGCACTGTGTGATACTAAGAATGCCCTGGCGACTCAGTTTACTATGTTCGGCTGTTATAGATTCACATTTTAATTGGCTAAGCATGATCCATTGGTACCACATGTGGTGCATTTATATTTATACGGGGAGTGCCTCACCAATCCAGAGAGCAGAGGAACCATACTTCCTGTAAATCCTAGTGACCCATACTTTACTCCATAATCACTGCAAACCACTTTTATAGGCAAGGCTAGATGGGCTTGGGCAGTATTTGTAGGATGTTTGCCAGGAAGTCTACCAGTTAAACCTTGTAAAACTTCTGCCTTCTCCTATCCCACTTCTGTTTTTTGTTTGTTTGTTTTTGTTTTTTTTTTCCTCAAATGTTAAAAGAATAAATGTTTGATTTAGCTTCTTGCACATTTTTATAAATGTATTATTATAATCACACCATGAGTTTAGAAACTTTAGATGTAATATTGTTAATGTAAAATTATCTTCTCCAAGATTAACTTATTTTAGAAAAGAAGCTCTAAAATACTAGTATATTTATAGCTTATGAAATTTGTAATATTTACCCTTGTAAAAATGTCAGATATACAAACTATTTTTATTACTGTTTCTCATAAAATACAGAACACAAAGAGTTATAGAGAATTACTTTAACACAGTTTTTAGCATCTACTAGCATGAGTTTAGCAGACTCTCAGTAGACAATTCAGTTTAACCAAGCTTATTATATAAAAGACTTTTTAAATATACTTGCTATACATTTTGACCATGAGGAAAACTTTTCTAATTTCGCTATTATATTTACAAAGTTTGAGATTTTAAATGCCTTCTTGTTCAGTTGGTTTCCATTTGTTTCATGAATATTACCAAAATACCTTCTTTTTATTTAGTTTATGATATGGTACAGTGAAATGGAGAAAATCTGAATTGATTGAAGGTAACAACTTGCTTTTATCATAAAAAAAATTCAAAATTGAGAACCTCTGGTTTTACAATCTACCTCAGTCACATTCATGGCAAATTCACTCTGGTTCCGTCTTGATATCTCTTCACATGACCAGTTAAATTGCCCCTGGACTCTGTATCCCTATTTCTGGCACTTAGGACTAAAGGAGTTAGCACGCTGAGTTCCTATCATTTTTGAGTTCCTATCATTTTTGAGAGTTTCTTATTGTAACTCTTCTCCTATGTTGGTAAATGCACTCTCCAGTATTCCCTTGCGAATCTGAAACTATCTCAACAAAAGGTATTAAAATTGCTTATGAGACCTGCCTATGGGAAATGCTATTTATGAATTAGATTCTCATATTGCCTCTAATGTAACAATTAGTTCTAATAGAACTGCATCAGGGCTTCTTGCAAGAGCATAGAAAGTTTACTGGCAGCCTGTTCTCAAGTCCCCAAAGGTGAGAAATTCAGAGAAGCAGAAGTAAGTGAGCATCTGAGCTAAAGGTTTCGTTGTCTCTTCATGTTTATCTTCTGGGAACTAGTGGGATTACTATTTGCATAGGGCTGAAGAAATCCCTTATGTCCACAGCAGACACTGTGCAAATTTGTTCTGCCCCAGTGCCTCACTGAAAACCTCCTTGTGTTGAAAATGTGACAGTACTAAGCCACGTGGTCTGATTCTGAAAGGTTTACTTTTTTGAAGAGGCTATTAATTTAAAACCATTTCTATTTAAGGGAGTTTGTTGTTGTTGCTTAAAACTAATTGAATGTAGTTAGACTTAATTGTAGAAAAAGTTATATATTTTCCATATTTAGGTTAGAAATTAGTTTCATTGTCCGTAGTGTTATGTATTAGCTTTAAGATCTAACAGTTAGCACTTCAGCACTATGTGCTGCAGTTTCAACTGCTCTGCATGTATTGACTGTAATTCCGTCTAACCAGTATTGTTCTTATCCCCATTATTCAGGTGGAGAAATCTAGGCACAGAAAGCTAAATAAATTGTCTATGTTTACTAAACTTAGTAAGTTGAAAAGTTGGGAGTCAAACCCAGGCAGCTAGTGTGAGGGGCAGCCCTAAAGCATTTGTAACCTCTTCACTATCCTCTCTTTGACAACTCTTGGTAGTTCCCTTTTATTTTGAGGGGGAGCAGTGGACACTGTTAGTGACTGTGGGGCAGTCTTGGATTTTCTTAAGGCTATATTAAGTAACTGTTATATCCCATAAAATTTTAATTTTCTTTTTTCTTTTTTTTTTTGTTTTTTTGAGACAGAGTCTGGCTCTGTCGCCAACCTGGAGTGCAGTGGTGCAATCTCAGCTCACTGCAACCTCCGCCTCCCGGGTTCAAGCGATTCTCCTGCCTCAGCTTCCCAAGTAGCTGGGACTACAGGCACGCACCACCACGCCCAGCTATTTTTTTTGTATTTTCAGTAGAGATAAGGTTTCACCATGTTGGCCAGGATGGTCTCGGTCTCTTGAGCTCGTGATCCACCCACCTCGACCTCCCAAAGTGCTGGGATAACAGGCATGAGCCACCATGCCTGGCCAAAATTTGAATTTTCCATAAACAAGCAGTTCATTCATCTCTAGCCTGGGGCAATGGTTCTCAAATTTTAACCACATAAAAATTATCTGAAGAGCTTTTTAAATATGGTTCCCAACCTTAAAGTTTCTTATTTAGGAGGTGAGATTTGGAACCCAGGGGAACACATAACGGGCAGATACCCCCAGCGAATTTTGATATTGGTTATCCCGAGAAAATGTAGAAATCACTACCGTGATGGAACTCATAGTCTAGCAAAAGAGACATACTTCACCTAAGATGTGTCCTTTTATTATTAGAAACAACTTCATTAAATAAGTCAAAATGCTGGAGAAAAGCATATTGCTCTTCAAAATGAGACATCAGTGTGAAACATTTTAAAGCAATGGATGGCATCAAGACATTACAAATCCAAAACATAACAATCTATGCTGCCTTGATGGTATTTTATTATTAACCTGCCTCTACTAGTGACATCCTTAGGTGGAATCCACATTCCTCCATGAACTAAAAATGGTAATAATGCTTAATTGTTTCCAAGGGATTGGATTTTTGCCTACAACATGAGGCCTTCAATAATTAAGTTATGACTAAATAGTAAAAGGGTTGTGAAAATATTCACAACCTCATAAGACCAGGCTTTAAATGTTTTACTGTTAAATTTTTAACTGGGTCCTAGGAGTTCTTAAGAAATACTTGTTTTCTGTGCAACTGGAATATAATGAAAACATCGAAAATCCATTTACATTTTAATTATTAAAGATGGTTTAGCATATTTAGCATCTTTGAGGATGACATTAAGGAAGTTATTCCAGACAGAGAGAATAGAATAAACAAAGTCGCACTGGGGATGGAGAAAGCTCAACGGACATCAGAGTAAAGTCTTATTATAGTGAAGAGTTGCATATCTGTAGGGGTAATAGGAGGATAAAAGATTGAAAAGGTAAGGAGATGCCAAAATGTGAAAATACATCACATTTAGACTAAGGTGGCACTTGATTATGGAAGGGTATTGATACTGTCAGAACTAGAGTTTAGGAAGATGACATGTAAGTGGTCCGTGTTCTGAATACCTAACACAATGCCTAGTGCTGATGAAGCTTTCAGTAAAATTTAATGGAATAATTGTTGAATTGTGCTTTAGAGAGAGGGGAACCTATGAGCAAGGATACCAGCTAGGAGGCTTTTACAGCTAACTGCCTGGAGGCAGATATAAGGAGGGCCTAAACTAGACTGGCAGCTGTTGAAATAAAAATAAAAGATGAAATACTAAGAGAGCTTGAGGATGCATCATTAACTACTAAGATATCTATCAAATTCAAGAAAAGGAGTTCATCGGCTTTTTGATTAACTTGGAGAAAAATCCTGATAAGGGTGTATAGCATTGAGTTGGAAAATTACTTGTTGCTCTGGATAGAGAGTGGAAGTGGATTAAATGGACACCACTGCCATGTGACACTTCTGCTTCTAAGCCGTTGGCCATTTATGAGTCCCATGGCCCCATCTAGTGGAGTGGGAGGTTGAGTGACATCCACTTAGAGTTGAAAGAGATAGTTAGGGAACATTTGGGAACTTCTAAATGAAGTTTCATCTTCTCCTATTTCCATTTTCATCAAAACAGTTTCTGAGACTATAGCTCACCTGAAAGTATCATTTTGCAGGACTCTAGAGAAGAGATACACTGAACTTTGAGGTTCTAAATGAGTGTATTTATTCTCCTTTAATGCCTTTTTCAGAACATTTCTTTTTTATATCATATGTTGGTTACATTTTCTCCATGTATTTGCTTTTGATGTTTTTGCTACCACTGCTGCTGTTTTCCCAAAACTGATATATTTAATTAAAGTGGTAGCTATTTCATCCTAATGCTAGTGTACTTGGTATAGATCACTTTATTTTGTTATGATTTTGGCTCTTGAAGAAAATAATCAAGCTCTCCTTTTTCCCCCCACAAATAGCCTGTCACATTTTCTTGCTTCTATTATATACTTAATGCTTCAATCACTTTGAAACATTTATTTCTCTGAATTCATAATACATGGGCTGTATTTTCATTTCTCAGATTAAAAAAAGAAAAACTATGTTCAATGCAGGTCTCCTTAGTTTATTACTATCATTAGTGTTGTTAAGAGATGAAGTACTGAATTTTAGAAGTATATGTGAATATTTTTATCTTACTTTTCTTTGCAGGGGCCCAGCCTAAGCCAGTATTTTTACATAATGTCAGCTTTCCAGAAGCTCTTAAACCAAAATGTGATTCTCACAGAACAAAACAAAACAAACAACAAACAAAAAACCCAGACATTTAAATAGAATTGCCAATGTATCTTAGCTTCTTTTTTTTAAGAGCATGCATTAGCCTGGATTTGGAAAGATGTACATAAATTTTGAAACATCAATGCATTATCTGATACTTTTTGGAATGTTTTTCTGAGTCTCAAATCTACAGTAGATGAATGAATATTTGTTGAGCAGCTACTATTTGTAGAGAGCTATTTGGACAATATATAAGTTTTCTCTGCCCATGTGGGCTTATTGGAGTGGAGAAAACATTTCAAATTATCTTATATGGAAGTTTTCTACTTCATTCTGTGGACATTTCAGAGAGAAAAAGCTATTTGATTTCATTCAACAAGCAATTATGTTCTGGGAAATGTGAGGAATTTACTCTGTGAGTTCCAGCCACATGGGACTTCTTGAAGGGTACTTCATTCTTTTTTTCCATGCTTAGAAAAAACATATTCCCAAGAGACCCCCAACTTCATTTAAATTAATGAATTTATTCATTCATTCAATATATTTATTATTTCCCATGTGCCAATTGCTGTATAGATGCCAGTTCCTCAGGGAAGCTTTCCCTAACCCTATCCCTCTCCTCAACTAGATTCCATTCTAATATATATTTTCACAGCTTCTTGTTCTTTTCTAGCACAGCCCTTGCCGCAGCTAGTAATTAGACTATGTAAGATATTGTTTATTAGGTAAGCTGCATGAGGGCAGGAATACTATTTGTTGGCTCTCTTTGTATTCTCGTCAATCTCAGTGACTGGTGACTAGTGACTAACCTTTCATAAAAAAATGAAACAGATATGCTATCATAATGTTTTCATATCCCCAAGACTGAGAATATTTTTTATTTGCTCAGTAAATATATTTGAATGCATTAATAAATAAAGTGAGGATAAACCACATTACCTGTTCTCTGGATGTTTAAATGTAATGCAAGTGAAGCACATTTACATAAGCAGTTATATTATATGGTGAAGGAAGAGGATGTTCAAGATCAGTGATCCTGGGTTCTACTGGCCATTGACTGTCACCTTGAACAAAGTTACTGGGCCACTCAAAGGTATGTCTTCTTTATATACAAAGAGTCAACAAAAATAGATGGCCTCTTAAAATTGTTGTGAAGATTATACAAAGGATGTTTAGTCATGTATTGGCCATAAAGCCAGTGATTAATAAATGCATGTTCTCAATAATTCAACAAATATTTATTAAGAGTTATAGTCAGGACTTTTAACTGTTACCCAACATCCTTTCCATCTGTTTTCATATTAAAGAGATTATTAGCTAAATATATTTCCCAACCTCTCATTCCCAACAATAGATGTGGCCAACTATTGTTGATGAGACTCTCAAATGGTCAAAGGCATATAAGCAAAAGTGTCACATGGTGGTTCCTAGGAATTTTTTTTTAACAGAGAGTATCCACACATCCTCTTCTCCCCTCTTCATCCCTGCCTCCATCCTTCCAGGAACTCAGAGGCTGCCATCTTGGACCGTGGGATCAGGTATATACACTGGGTAACGAGACAGAGGATACCTGGGGCCCTGATTTATCAGCACCTTCTGCGTAGTCACACATTTACCCAAATAAGAAGCCTCTTTCTATTTAAGACATAGTTAGTTTGGGTTTTCTGTCACTCACAACTGAACTGTCTCATACCTAATATGAGTCAGCAAAATACCATGTTCACGACTAGATTCAAGGCAGAATATGATAGTGCTAGTCCCTTAACAATTTCTTAAGTGTAAAAAAGGAAGCCCTTTTTGGAGGGGCCAAGATGGCCGAATAGAAACAGCTCTGGTCTGCAGCTCCCAGCGAGACCAACACAGAAGGTAGTTGATTTCTGCATTTCCAACTAAGGTACCCAGTTCATCTCACTGGATTGGTTAGGCAGTGGGTGCAACCCACAGAGAGCGAGCAGAAGCAGGGTGGGACGTCGCTTCTCCCAGAAAGCGCAAGGAGCCGGGGGACCTGCCCTCCCCCAAAACAAGGGAAGCCGTGAAGGACTGTGCTACCCATCCTGGGTACTACGCTTTTCCCACGGATTTTTGCAATCCGCAGATCAGGAGATTCCCTCATGAGCCTACACCACCAGAGCCCTGGGTGTCAAGCACACAACTGAGCGGCTGTTTGGGCAGACACTGAGCTAGCTGCAGGAGGTCCTTTTTTGTACCCTAGCGGTGCCTGGAATCCCAGTGAGACAGAAGAACCGGCCACTCCTCTGGAAAGGGGGCTGAAGCCAGAGAGCCAAGTGGTCTCACTCAGCAGGTCCCACTCCCATGGAGCCCAACAAGCTGAGAACCACTGGCTTGAAATTCTCACTGCCAGCACAGCAGCCTGAATGAAGTCCACCTGGGTTGATGAGCTTGGTGAAGGGATGAGTATCCGCCATTACTGAGGCTTTAGTAGGTGGTTTTCCCGTGACAGTGCCAAAGAGGCGCGGCAAAGCAGCTGTGGCCAGACTGTTTTTCTAGATTCCTCCTCACTGGGCAGGGCATCTCTGAAGGAAATGCAGCAGCCCCAGTCAGGGACTTACAGATAAAACCTTCATCTCCCTGGGACAGAGCACATGGAGGGAGGGGCAGCTGCAGGCACAGCTTCAGTGGACTTAATCTTTCCTGCCTGCTGGCTCTGAAGAGAGCAGCTGATCCTGACAAGGGGGATTCTCCCAGCACAGCGCACCAACTCTGCTAAGGGACAGACTGCCTCCTCAAGTGGGTCCTGACCCCCGTGCCTTCTGACTGGGAGAGACCTCCCAACAGGGGTCGACAGACACATCATACAGGAGAGCTCTGGCTGGCGTCAGGTTGGTGCCCCTCTGGGACAAAGCTTCCAGAGGAAGAAGCAGGCAGCAGTCTTTGCTGTTCTGCAGCCTCCAGTGATGATACCCAGGTGAACAGGGTCTGGGAGTGGACCTCCAGCAAACTGCAGCTGACCTGCAGAAGAAGGGCTTGGCAGAAGAGAAACTAACAAACAGAAAACAACAACAACAACATCAACAAAAAAGACCCCCACACAAAAACTCCAGCCAAAGGTCATCAGCCTCAAAGATCAAAGGTAGATAACTCCATGAAGATAAGGAAAAATCAGCGCAAAAATGCTGAAAATTTCAAAAGCCAGAATGCCTCTTCTCCTCTAAATGATCACAACAACTCTCCAGCAAGGGTGCAAAACTGGACAGAGAATGAGATTGACGAATTGACAGAAGAAGGCTTCAGAAGGTAGGTAATAACAAACTCCTCTTAGCTAAAGGAGCATGTTCTAACCCACATGTTTGTATGTTTCACACATTTACAGTTACAAATTATAAATCCCAAATCCTAAGACTCATATGATTTTTAAAATTATGTAAAATTTCTGCTAACAAAATACCCTGATTATGTTATTAGGACATTCAAAATAATTCAAGGTAAATTACAATGCAAGGTGAATTTTTTTAATTGAACTGTAGATTTTTTAAAAAATTGAACTGTAGATTTTCTCCATTCTTAGATTATTGTCTGTTTTCAAAACTTCAGTGGTTTCCACCTCTTACCAAAATAAAACACATACATTTTTCACTTTGGCAAAGCATTTGTTCCTCTATCATTTATAATGTTCTTGTGTTTCAATTTGTTGTTTATGCGTCTTTTCTTTTCTAGAATACATGTGACAAGTGCAAAGATCTCTCCTGTCTTTATAGATTTCCATGCATCTAGCATAGTGTTTGGACTCTGTAGACAGGCAAAAAAAATTGATGAATTAAATACTTTTAGTTGTTATTTAAAAGCAAAATGCACGTGTAATAATAATCAGAGATACAGCTGGAAAAATAAGTTGTAATGACCTTGAGGGAATTTGTGAATGCCAGAAACATATATATTGTTCTATTCACTCTTCATAAAATTAACTGTAAAACTTGTGTTACAGATGCAATTCTTTTATGAATGAATCTAGTCAGTGATGAGAATGAGGTAGCTTTTGATCATTAAAAATAATTTGTTTTCTAAATTTAGGTCAGAGTAATGAAATCAAAAAATAAAAGAATGATGTTCTCTCAATTTATAATAATTTATTCTTCAACGTTAGAAAACGTTAGATCAGATTATATTATGCTATTTAGAGGAAGTAGAAATAAAACTTTATAAAACATAGAATATGTGAGTTTTTAAAAGATTTCCTAACTGCCAACATCTGTTTGGCAAAATTACTATTTTTAACTGATGAGATATACTCTATATTTTCCCTCCTAAATTTCAAATAATTTATTTCTTGCTATATAGGAGTGTTTGAAACTTTATTTTTTGAAAACATATAAAGTATATTCCTACCTTATTAAGAAGTTGTGAGTTTGGTTTTTCTCTGTGTATTCTGCTCTTTACTTCCAAGGAAGCAGAGATGACCACAATTCCACATCTTCTTCCCCTACTTGTACCATACTGAAGACCAGAATCATCCAATTTATTTTTTAGGGTTAATATAAAGAACAAATGAAATACTCTATCATGTATATAAAAGTATTTCGAATGAAGTTAATTTTAAAAAGTCAAAAGGACTTGATCAGTGTGAATTGAAAAATCATTTAGTTCTTTGTTACTCATCTTTCTTCTATATTTGTAAATGATAAACTTAATTTCCCTCTTTTCTGAGAAGAATGGTAATGATAACAAACAACCAAAGGCTTAAAGATGCAGGGTACCTAACGGACAACTTTAAGACTCAGATAACCCTGTGAGTTGGATAGCATTTTACTACCATTGTATAGATGAAAAAATTTTGGCTTAAAAAGTTAAAAAAAAAAATGCCCAAGGTTATGTTAGCTAGTACCCTAGCATGGGTGGGTTACAAGCCTGGTTTTCAGAAGACAAACATCTTGCTCTTGGCTAGAGTCATCAACTGTTAGATCACAAAACTTTGCTTAGAAGAAACAAAACTTTTATTGTTCTTTCTTTTAACATCCTGGGGTCAAGACAGGAAATTTTGCCCTTCAGTGGTCATATTGTACTGATGAACACCTAGAAAGAAGGAGCCTCTTTGCATACCCTAAAGACAGTACAGGACTCCCAATTCCAGGCTTTTGCTTCTCATCTTTCCAGCATGCTCATAGCACCACCGTTATCCCTAAGAAGTCCCCAACCCAGTAAGTCCAGTCCCAAATCTTGATTTGTTGTGCAAAACACTGACTTCAAATTTCAGTATCTATTCACTCATAAAGTTATTCAGAGCATCAATACACTTTAAGCTATTTTATCTTTCCTATTTTATTTTTAAAATAATTAAATATTTAAACGTAGTACCCACATGCCCATGAAAATACAATGCAAATTAAAAATTCATCCCTGCTATAGAAATGTATAAGCAGCTGGAAGGATTAAAAGATATGACCTCTTCCAGGTAAACGTCATTACAGACTGCAATGAATCTTTTGTATCAGGGGACGTGTTAAGAGATTACGGAATATTGACAGTGTAGGTCTGATTTTGGACAACATATTAAAAACTTACTCCTAATATGTCTAATATTCAATAATCTGGTTAATTCAGCATAAAACATTCCTAGCAGCTACCTTTAGGTCTATAGTAACAACTCAATAAGAGAAACAACTAAGGAATATTTAGTTTATTGATACACATTTTTTGAATCATAAACTTAAATTCTCAAGAAAAACCATAATATAAAAGCCCTTTTGTTATTTCTCAGAACATATGTTAATGTATTTCAATGTGACAATGAGATTTAATTCCTAAAATGTATTTATTTTATTTTATTTTTGAAATGCAAATTTAAGATTGTATATATTTGGATTACAGTAATGCCAGAAAAACACAAAGAATGTAGAATGCTAAGTTGTCCCTTGATAATATCTATTGTGTATGTGTTCCAAAGGCAGCCACTCCTTCTGTTTAGCTCTCTCATTTCTTTTTTTGGTTAATTCATTCACATTCTACCATGCTAGAAATTAATATGCTAGAAAACATGTCGCCCTTTACACTAGAGTGTATGTTTGCTTTGTAGACTTCTTTTATCATCAGTGCATAAAAATAAAGAACATCACAGTTTTCTGTTTCCCAGAAGTACCTTTTAACTTTTTATTTGTGATATTTGTTTTTGTCTTGATGTTTAATTGATCCCAAGTCAGAATTTAAAATACCAGGACACTTGCTACCACTACCAATAATATTTCCACACATGGAAAGGTGTAGAGTATTATCATAGCAAAACTTGGAAACTGTTCTGTTGGCATTGTTGTTATTTGCATGCTGCAAATAATATACTGGATTAAGAAAAATCAGGGGCCATAACTGGCAATCCATTCTCATCTGCCTGCTAACCTTTTGCCATGCTGGATGGAGATATGATTATCAGAGAATTCTGTTTTCGGTTAGGACATACTTAAAGTAATTGGATATTCCATTTTTATTTTTCTTTCTTATTCACTCAGCACTGTACTCAGTTTGAAATCCACTCAGTGTGATGGCAAATGCCAAGGAGAGCATTCATATGGACCCTGTGGTGAGATTCTTGTCCATCATGCCTGGGTCAGCTCTTAGAAGTAATGCACCTCCCCATCTCTCTGTTAAAAAGTTTTTAACTAATAAACTCCTTAAAATGTTTCAACAGCAATTATTTTTCTGTTTTTTTTTCTTTTGGTTGAACAGGTTTGTGGTGATTATTTTGCTGTTTGCTTTTGTACAGCCCATTTCACAACAACTAAAGAGCCAATGCTTATTGGCATGAGCCACCTATAGAAATGTAAGAAAGTCAAGCCTCGCACACAGCATTCCTCTTCCCTCTCCCCTTCATAGCACACTTACTGCCCCTGAGATTGTGCATTAAAGACTTTTTTTTTTCTTTTTGGTAACACTCTGGCTTCTTTCAAAAATATTCATTAGCAAAGTGACCTTAATTTCATTGTTTCTAATGTGGTTTTTATTGGGATTAGCATTTCTACTCATGTGCTGACATCGTTTGCTCTTTTTATTCCTCTTGTTTCTTCTTCAACTTTATCTTTATTTACAAGAGTTCGAGACTACCTTAATATTTACAATTTCATCAAACTTGATATACAAGCTGTAGTTTTCAAAACCATGTAGCCCCAGTTCAGTTCACTCCTGAATGTGTAGCTGTGGGTGATGGAGGATGTGAAGAAACTCTAACAGCTGGTACCAAGAGAGGAGAGATGAGTACAATATAGTGGAAGCCCTTCAGAAACAGGTGGAAATTCAGATGAAATGGTTATACCTGGCCCCGACTCCTGGAAATGCCAACAGCTTTCACCCCTGGTGGTGTATTGCTCCTGTTACATGCTGTGTAATGAATGGGGTGTTTCACTTTAATTGGAAGTTTTACCAGGTGCAGAGAATCATAAAGAGATTATAGTTTTATGTTTATGCATATGTGTTCTTTTCCCATGGTTATTCAAAGAGGACAATTAAGTTAATTGAACACATGTCAAAGGCTAACCAGCATTCAGAACATGGAGGATAGTTTAAAGGTCCTTTTATCTGGAGCATCAGAACTAGTGTTTGGTTAGTTACTAAAAACCTTGATTAAAATAAAAAAGCATTTAAATTCCATACTATGTTTCTTAGATAAACTACGTCAAGAAATTTATAATTGATACTTCTTTTTATTTCATTGTTTAAACATATTGGTGAAGTTATTCAAGTATAGAATCCTAGATATCAATTAATTATCCCAATATTATAGACTCTTTAGTACTATGCCTTTTTGAGGTTTTTCAGAAAGCTTTTTCATGTTTTTATAGAAAAAAACCTTTTCTTTTCCAGTCACATTTTATCAATTGTGTTTAATTAGATTACATAAGTAGAATAACAATCACAACTTGAAAAGAAAACAGATTGGGGAACAAACACAAATGACCCTTGATGAGCGTGCAATTAATCTGCAAGAACAGAAGAGAGTTGGCTTAGCAGAGAACAGCCCAAAGTGCCAGATGTGTAGAGCAGCAATTATGTTTCACAGCGGCAGTGAAGAGTGTCAGTGCTCAGGTTGTTGCTGATTTGGAGGTGGTTTAAGAGAGACTCTACTGTAGCCACTAGGACTAGTTATATTTGAGTTAATTTTTTTTTTTTTTTTTTGAGACAGAGTCTCGCTCTGTCACCCAGGCTGGAGTGTAGTGGCAGCGCGATCTCGGCTCACTTCAAGCTCCGCCTCCCAGGTTCACGCCATTCTCCTGCCTCAGCCCACCGAGTAGCTGGGACTACAGGCGCCCGCCACCACGCCGGGCTATTTTTTTTTTTTTTTTTTTTTTTTTTTTTTTTGTATTTTTAGTAGAGACGGGGTTTCACCGTGTTAGCCAGGATGTTCTCGATCTCCTGACCTCATGATCCGCCCGCCTCGGCCTCCCAAAGTGCTGGGATTACAGGCGTGAACCAGAGTTACTCTTTTTATCCTTAAACACCTCCAAAGCCTTCCTCCTTAGGTGTGTTCATGATGCTTCTCACCACCCAAGCCTTCACAGAATGTGTTAATGATGCATTTGATAAAATACTTTATATTAATAAGATAATGTGAAAGAACAGGGGAGTTGCAAATCCCTGTAACTTTTTTAACTGTGCTTTTTAACTGGAAACTTTAGGTGATCATGCTTGTCTGTTTATTTTTTTAAATCCCTTAAGTGACATATTTGCAATCCAAATCATTGGAAGTCTATTTAGAACTGTCTGGGAAGCTCAAGTTATTTCTGGTATCACCCAAAACAGATGGTTACCTGTTCTTTTTGCCTGAGACACATTTGTATTGCCAGCTCCCAAGCAAAAGCCCTAGTAGGAGAATTGTTTTCACTGTGACCAGTTGAAAACATACTTGTTTGAGATAGAAAAAAAAAAATTTCCTACTCTTTCACTTAACACTTTACTTCTGGTCACAAAACGGTGATTCTCCCCACCAACAACCAGTTATTCAGTGGACACTGACTGAGTATTCTACAGTTACTGCACACTCTTACACTAACCCCAGTTACTGCACACGCCATAGGTTAAAGGCCCAGTCCCACAAGACTTCCTCAAGACAGTTCCACGAGACTTCAGACGCTAATTGCATCTGAATTGGGGTTCCCACTACACCCTCACTGGGTTCAAATAATTTGCTAGGATGCCTCACAGAACTCAGGGAAACACATTTACTTGTTTATTATAAAGGATATTACAAAGGATACAGATGAACAAGCAGATGAGAAGCATAGGGTGAGATATGGGAGAAGAGAAGAGGAACTTCCTTGCCCTCTCTGATGTGACACCCTACAGGATCCTCTGTGTATTCAGCAACCCGAAAGCTGTCTGAAACCTGTTCTTTGGAGGTTTTATAGAAGTTTCATTATTTAGGCCTGATTGATGAAATCATTGGCCAGTAATGGTGAACTCAACCTTCAGTCCCTCTCCTCTTCCTAGAGGACGGGGCAGGGGTGGGGCTGAAGTTCCAACCCTCCAATCACCTGATTGGTTCCCTTGGCCACCACTCTCATCCCAAGGCTATTCAGGAGCCTATCAAGAGTCACCACATTAGAACAAAAGAGGTTTCTATCACCCAAAAAATTCCAATGGATTTAGGACCTCTGTATTCAACATTCCTATCACTTTTGTAGGTAACTGTGCTATTGCATAATATGGCCATACTTAAGTCATTTTCCTTGAGAATAGAGAAGTAAAGGAGAAACCAATGATTTTTCCCCCACTTCAGATCTCACCTGCCAGCACTGATGTAAGACTTCACCTCCCTATTTCAAGGCACATTATTATCATCAGTCTGGGTAAGGTATCTTGCCATTTAATATTAAATTGTTATTCTCTTCCCACCTTCCTTCCTATTCCTCTTCCTCTATGTGAGCCCAACCTAGTAGCTGATGTGTAACCTTTCATTCTACCTTCTTTGTGTTGATTTGAAGTCAATTATTGGAGAGTACATGATGTTATATCATAAGGTGTGTTTTTAAATTTACATACATGGTACTGTGTGTATTTAATTATCTTGTTTCTTTTTCACATATTCTTATGTTTTTTAGATATCCGTATAAAAACCCAGTTCATCATTTCTGATTCTTAGAGAGTATATTTATTGTGTGAGAGCTCACACACACACACATACACACAGGTACACTTTATATTTTAATATTCGATTCCTCTGGGGATAGTCACCTAAGCTGCTCTCCTTTGCTAACATAAAAGTTATTACAATAGATATGTGTGTGGATTTCTTCTTGAGCACTTATGCAAAAGTTTTTCAGGGAAAAATACCCAGAAATAGGGTTGCTTAATTTTACTAACAACTAACAGATAGAAATGGCTATGCTAGTTTACATTCCCATCATCAGCATCAGAATACTTCACCAATACTTGATATTATTTGATATTTTTGTTTTGCCATTCTGTTGGCTGTAAATTGTTGTATCTTTTTTTAACAAAATTGCATTTCTTTAATAGTGAAGATTTTCTCTGAGTTACCTTTAATATCATTTGCTCCATTTTCTATTGATTTCCTCATCTCTTTGCATTGTGTGTGTGTCTATGTGATTTGCAAAAAAAAAAGAGGAAGAAAAAGAAAGAAGAAAAGAAGAAGTGGAAGAGAAAAGAAAGAGGAGGAGGAGGGGAAGAGGAAGAAAGAAGGGAGAAGATATGATTTGATATGATTTGGCTAGATATGATTTGGCTAGATCCCCACCCAAATCTCATCTTGAATTGTAGCTCCCATAATCCCCATGTGTCAGGGGAGGGTCCCGGTGGGAGGTAATTGAATCATGGGGACAGGTTTTCCCATGCTGTTCTCATGCTGTTCTCATGATAGTGGATAACTTTCATGAGATCTGATGGTTTTATAAAGGGCAGATCCCTGCATACATTCTCTTGCCTGCTACTATGTAAGATGGGACTTTGCCCCTCCTTCGCCTTCTGCCATGTGAGCCCTCCCCAGCCATGTGGAACTGTGAGTCCATTAAACCTCTTTTTCTTTATAATTAGTCAGTCTCAGGTATTTCTTCATAGCAGTATGAAAATGGACTCATACACCCTTGTATATTTTAGATCAGTTATTCTCACCTGAAAATGCAGTTCACATATCCCTTGAAGAAGCAGGGGATCCCAAAGACTCATTCAGGAGATTCACAAATCAACACAATTTTCATAATATTTCTAAGACGATATTTGCCACTTTTACTCTGTTAACGTTTGTACTGATGCCACAAACAGTGGTGAGTAAAACTGCTAGTGCCTTGGCACAAATCATGACGATAGCATCAAACTATACTAGTCATCATTGTATTTATCTCTATTTTACACACTTATGAGTAAAAAAAGAGAGTATCCAATTCATTTAAGAACATCCTTGATGAAGCAGTAATGATAACTAATTCTATTATTTTATTAAATGTCAATCCTTTTTAAGTCTATAGTATTCTGTGTGATGAAAAGGGGTTTATGCATAAAGCACTTTTGCTGAGTACTGAAATGTGACCATTGTCTACAGGAAAAGCCTTTGCAAGATTGTGTGAGTTTCAAGGTAAACAACTCCTTTCCCCTACTTTTTTGTATCATGTTTACTTCAAAGAACAACTGACAGACCAACTATAGTTATTCATACCTGGGTATCAGGCAGATATTGTCTTGAAAATGAATACAGCAATCCTGCCACATCAATGAAAACAGCTGACAGTCTTTGTTGCTAGTTATAAAATTGGAAATTTCAAGTGAAATTTATAATTTTGGAAAACTTGTAACTATCAATGTGAGTTTCATACATTCCAATAATTAAAAACTTTTCTGATGAAATTGGTGGTGATATTAATCAGTGCAAGTTTTTGTATTATATAGTGAAATGTGTCATCGCTTAGAAAATCTACGTAGCTCGGTGAGCCAGTATGTTGCAAATGACCAATGTATAATGTTACAAAACCATGCATGGGTGAAAAATCCATTCAAAGTGCAAAATAGACCAATGGATTTTAACACAAGGAATACAAAATCTTCATTGGTAGATTTCAGATTCCACAAAGCATCTAAAATTTAACAAACTACTTTTGTTAAAATTTAAAAAGCAAACTTTTCAAGTTTTGGTATGGTATCAAAGAATATCTACAGTTATCTGGAAAAGTTGCTAAGTCATCTCTTCTTTTCTAGCTGCATATTTGTATGAAGCTACATTTTCTTCCTATATTGCAACCAAAACAACATATTGCAATAGATTGAATATAGAAACAAATATGAGAACCTGTCTTCTCTTAAGCTAGATTTGAAAGAGATTTGATAAAATATAAAATAACTCTTTCTTAGTAAATTTTTGTTTGTTTTTGAACAATATAATTATTTTCATAAAAATGTAGTGTTAATGGTAATATTTAACCTGTTCATTATTGTCATTTTTAGGTGAATTAATATATTTTTAATTTGTCAGTATTAATTTCTAATATGATAAATATTTATATATATATATATATATATAAAACCCACAATGGCACGTGAGTGTGTGTCTGTGTGTGTGTGTGTGTGTGTGTGTGTGCGTGCACACTTTTGCACGTGTTTGTACTTTGGGGCTTTTGATAATTTGTACAAGGTTTAAAAAAGTACCGAGACCATATGGTTGAGAACTAGTGTACTTAGTAATAAGCCCCTGTGGGCCGGGCACAGTGGCTCACACCTGTAATCCCAGCACTCTGGGAGGCCGAGACGGGCAGATCACCTGAGGTTGAGAGTTTGAGATAAGCCTGACCAACATGGAGAAACTCCATCTCTACTAAAAATACAAAATTAGCCAGGAGTGGTGGCACACGCCTGGAATCCCAGCTATTCGAGAGGCTAAGGCAGGAGAATTGCTTGAACCTGGGAGGCGGAGTTTGCAGTGAGCTGAGATTGCACCATTGCACTCCTGCCTGGGTGACAGAGGAAGACTCCGTCTCAAAATAATAAGAAGAAGAAGAAGAAGAAGAAGCCCCTGTCAAATTTGGATGTTGCAAATATCTTCCCCCAGATTATCACCTTCCTGTGAACTTTACCTGTGATGTTCTTGTAATAAAAATGTTTACTTTTTTATTTTTATTTTTATTATACTTTAAGTTTTAGGGTACATGTGCACAATGTGCAGGTTAGTTACATATGTATACATGTGCCATGCTGGTGTGCTGCACCCATTAACTCGTCATTTAGCATTAGGTATATCTCCTAATGCTATCCCTCCCCACTCCCCCCACCCCACAACAGTACCCAGAGTGTGATGCTCCCATTCCTGTGTCCATGTGTTCTTATTGTTCAATTCCCACCTATGAGTGAGAACATGCGGTGTTTGGTCTTTTGTCCTTGCGATAGTTTGCTGAGAATGATAATTTCCAATTTCATCCATGTCCCTACAAAGAACATGAGCTCATCATTTTTTATGGCTGCATAGTATTCCATGGTATATATGTGCCACATTTTCTTAATCCAGTCTATCATTGTTGGACATTCGGGTTGGTTCCAAGTCTTTGCTATTGTGAATAGTGCCGCAATAAACATACGTGTGCATGTGTCTTTATAGCAGCATGATTTATAGTCCTTTGGGCATATACCCAGTAATGGGATGGCTGGGTCAAATGGTATTTCTAGTTCTAGATCCCTGAGGAATCGCCACACTGACTTCCACAATGGTTGAACTAGTTTACCGTCCCACCAACAGTGTAAAAGTGTTCCTATTTCTCCACATCCTCTCCAGCACCTGTTGTTTCCTGACTTTTGAATGATTGCCATTCTAACTGGTGTGAGATGGTATCTCATTGTGGTTTTGATTTGCATTTCGCTGATGGCCAGTGATGGTGAGCATTTTTTCATGTGTCTTTTGGCTGCATAAATGTCTTCTTTTGAGAAGTGTCTGTTCATGTCCTTTGCCCACTTTTTGATGGGGTTATTTGTTTTTTTCTTGTAAATTTGTTTGAGTTCATTGTAGATTCTGGATATTAGCCCTTTGTCAGATGAGTAGGTTGAGAAAATTTTCTCCCATTTTGTGGGTTGAATGTTCACTCTGATGGTAGTTTCTTTTGCTGTGCAGAAGCTCTTTAGTTTTATTAGATCCCATTTGTCAATTTTGGCTTTTGTTGCCATTGCTTTTGGTGTTTTAGACATGAAGTCCTTGCCCATGCCTATGTCCTGAATGGTAATGCCTAGGTTTTCTTCTCGGGTGTTTATGGTTTTAGGTCTAACATTTAAGTCTTTAATCCGTCTTGAATTAATTTTTGTATAAGGTGTAAGGAAGGGATCCAGTTTCCGCTTTCTACATATGGCTAGCCAGTTTTCCCAGCACCATTTATTAAATAGGGAATCCTTTCCCCATTGTTTGTTTTTCTCAGGTTTGTCAAAGATCAGATAGTTGTAGATATGCGGCATTATTTCTGAGGGCTCTGTTCTGTTCCATTGATCTAGATCTCTGTTTTGGTACCAGTACCATGCTGTTTTGGTTACTGTAGCCTTGTAGTATAGTTTGAAGTCAGGTAGCGTGATGCCTCCAGCTTTGTTCTTTTGGCTTAGGATTGACTTGGCAATGCAGGCTCTTTTTTGGTTCCATATGAACTTTAAAGTAGTTTTTTCCAATTCTGTGAGGAAAGTCATTGGTAGCTTGATGGGGATGACATTGAATCTATAAATTACCTTGGGCAGTATGGCCATTTTCACGATATTGATTCTTCCTACCCATGAGCATGGAATGTTCTTCCATTTGTTTGTATCCTCTTTTATTTCATTGAGCAGTGGTTTGTAGTTCTCCTTGAAGAGGTCCTTCACATCCCTTGTAAGTTGGATTCCTAGGTATTTTATTCTCTTTGAAGCAATTGTGAATGGGAGTTCACTCATCATTTGGCTCTCTTTTTGTCTGTTGTTGGTGTTTAAGAATGCTTGTGATGTTTGTACATTGATTTTGTATCCTGAGACTTTGCCGAAGTTGCTTATCAGCTTAAGGAGATTTTGGGCTGAGACAATGGGGTTTTCTAGGTATACAATCATGTCATCTGCAAACAGGGACAATTTGACTTCCTCTTTTCCTAATTGAATACACTTTATTTCCTTCTCCTTCCTAATTGCCCTGGCCAGAACTTCCAACACTATGTTGAATAGGAGTGGTGAGAGAGGGCATCCTTGTCTTGTGCCTGTTTTCAAAGGGAATGCTTCCAGTTTTTGCCCATTCAGTATGATATTGGCTGTGGGTTTGTCATAGATAGCCCTTATTATTTTGAGATACGTCCCATCAATACCTAATTTATTGAGAGTTTTTAGCATGAAGAGTTGTTGAATTTTGTCAAAGGCCTTTTCTGCATCTATTGAGATAATCATGTGGTTTTTGTCTTTGGTTCTGTTTACTTTTTAAGAAGAAGAAGAAGAAGCAGCCCCTGTCAAATCTAGACATGCAGATATCTTCTCCCAGATTGTCACCTTCCTGTGAACTTTACCTGTGGTGTTCTTGTAATAAAAGTGTTTACTTTTTAAAATTTTGGGGAGTATGCAATACACTGTCCTGTTGCTGAAGTCTTACTACTCTTTCCACAGCATTATGCTAAGATCTCTCTCTCTCCCTCCACCATCCCTCCATTCTTTTCTCACCCCCTCTGTTACTCCCTCCCTTCCTCCTTCATTCTTGTTCTTATGTTTTACAAGTAAATAGTATCTTCTTTTCTGTACTTTTTCATAATAAAATTACTTAGATGCCTATTTATAGATACTTTAAATTGTTTGAATTTGTGTTTTATTATATACAGTGCTGTAGGGAATAACTTTTTGCCAACATCAGTTTACTCATACTTGTAGGATACATTTTTTAAATAGAATTGCTGAGTTAAAGAGGATGTGTGTTTGTCATTGTTACATATAACCAAATTGTCTTTCATAAATATGATGTCATTACACTATCACATGAAAACTATGTCATTTATAGTCTCATAGATATAAACATGCCTAGTTCTCCATATTCTTGCTAATATTGTGTAGTCCAACATTTTTATTTTTGTTTTTGATAGGTGAATTATGATTACTTGGTGTAGATTTAATTTACTTTTTTATGAATATGATTATCTTTTCATATGTTTAAAATCCATATTCATTCCTTTTAATGGCTACTAATCAAATCCTTTGCTCATTTCTATTGGGTTAGTTGTGTTTTATCTATCAATATGTATAATCTAATATCTTTGATTGATCAACCATTTGCTATGATATAATTTGTAAAAGTTTAATCCCCATTTGTCATTTGTATTTATTTTGCTTTTAATCTTGCAGAAATTTTTACTTTAATTAATAACATTTTTAAATCTAGTGTCATGAATAGAAACCCATTTTTTTATCTCTGAGATTGTTTTTAATTCTGTGTTTTCCTCTGATAATTTTGTGGAACTTATTTTGGGATAGGATGATAGGCAATGATCTAAATTTATTTGAGAAATCTATCAAATTGTCCCAATTATTTAATACTCTGTCTTTTTTCCTCTCATTTAAATATTATTTATTTCATATACAAAAGTTTCCTGCATATTGGAGTCTATTGGTTTTCTATTCTGTTCTATTCATCTGTCTCCATGTGTGCCGGTATCACACTATTTTGATTATATTTTCAGTCGATAATTGCTGGTGTAGAATAGTTATATGTTGATCTTCTATTAAGCAAACTTGCAGAACTTTTAAATTAGTTTTTACTATTTCTTGCGTCTCTAGAATTTTCAAAGTAAATTGTTAGTTGCATCATCTCCCAATATGAGAAATCTCAGCAATCCATCCTCTTCCCTTCTGGAAAGGGTTTTATAACACTGTCTTGCTGCTTACTAGTTTATATTCTTCAGCTGTGTCTCTTTGCTTCTTTGCTATTGAAACCACTCCATTGGGAATTTTATTTAGACAATTATCTTTTTATGTCCAATTATCCAGTATCACCAATTGGTTCTTATTTATATGCTTGTTCCTGTCTTATGTTTCAGAAAATCTTCGTCTTTTCAGGGATTTCTTTTGAATTTTAAAGTCTGAATCTGTTCTCCATTAGACTACATTTTATTCTAGTATTAGTTCTGTTTTTTCCTTTTGATCATGGTGCTTACATTCCCTAGAGAATTTGTTATTAATACCTTAGCTAGTGATGTATCTAGAAGGAAGGGTAAAATTCATGTCCCAGCTTCAGCTACTACAAATGGATTGAGTTGATGTAGAGAGGATACCTTATAGCAGAATTATAATCTGTACTGACTCTACAGTCCCCTTTCCCACAAAATACTTCATCTGCCTTAGACACTGCTCTTACCAGGACCTCATCACTCTGATTTACCTCCTTAGTCCATAACCTGTGATGTGGAGGGCAGAGGGTACAACACTCAGGCCTGCTAGTGCCTGCAGACTCCTGTCTAAGCCTGGCCCACATTTTTCCACTGCTTCTCACTGGCAGTGGGCTGGAACTGGGTAGATCAGAAAGAGCTCAATAAGCAAAATGAGAATGAGAAAGAGAAATAGAACATTTAGAAAGTTCTTCCCAAGCCTGATAACCTTTATGAGCCCTTGGAGTTACCCTCAATAAACCCCAGCTACACAAACATACACTGGGATCTCAAATTTCCACTTACACTAAGGCTTTACCATAGTTTTTGTGTTCAAGTACGATAAATTTCAAAGCCTGCTCAGCAATGTTCTGTTCCAGGGCATCTTAAGTGCTGGATTCAGTAGAGAGGACCAGTAGCCCATGCTAGTTGCTGTCTTGTCAAGAACCCATTAATCCCACCCCCCATGGTAAGACTCATGATTAGATTTAAACACACACACACACACACACACACACACACACACACACACACTCTTAACCATAGTAGCCCTAAATGTCTTATTAGTATATAGCTTTGAAAGTTGTTTGCAAAATTATCTTTATATGCTTGTTATTGAAACGGGAAAAGTTCCCTTGTCCCCCTTGCAAGGTGTGTGATGGGATGTGGCTCCCTTCTTCAGTGTCTCACTGTGCAAAACCCTTAGGGGGAGGAGACAGATGGGCAGGTCATTGGGAGCGTGGGCTCTGACCCCACAGCAGCTTCTAGGGGTAAACGTTTACAGTTCCTGAAGCCCCACCGGGCATGTTACAGTGTGCTCTTTTAGTTTTGCCATCTGTAGGCAGCTTATGTTAATCAGCTCAATTAGACCTTCTACCTTGTCACAAGGACAGAGGGCTTTCTCTATCCCGGGGTTCTTGCCTTGGTGTACCGGAAAAATCAGATCACATGTTGGCTTGGAGAATGAGTGCAAGGTTTTGTTGAGTGGTGGAAGCAGCTCTCAGTGAGGTGGATGGGGAGCCAGGAGGGTATGGAGTGGGAAGGTGGTCTTCCTCTGGAGTTGGGCTGCTCAGCGGCAGGACTCTCCTCCAACTGTCCTGGCCAAATTCCCCTTGGTATCCACATCATTCCATGGGTCGATGGCCTGCTGGCGTCTACCGGTGCCTGTCGGTGGTGCTCTTCTGCTCCTCTGCTCCTCTCCACATCCAGCCACCTGTGTGCTCTTCTGCTGGTCTGTTCCTCTCAGTGCCCAGCTGCTTGTGTGTGTGCCCACTAGGGTCTGGGGGCTTTTACAGGCACAGGATGGGGTGTGGCGGGACAGGTGCTCTTGGAAAATGCAACATTTGGGCATGAAAACACTAGTGTTTGTCCTCACCTAGATCCGTGGGCACAGGCCCGAGGGTGGAACGCTCGCCAGGGTCCCTGCCCTTCTCCTCCCAGCACTTCCCTGTCGCCACCCCATATCGTTATGATTATCGGCTTTTATAATACACTTCTCAAAATCCAAATTTTCTGGCATTGAGTGGTTAAAGGCAGAAGATGTAAAGAAAATGCTTTTTTGCTCTTTTTCATGTAAAAAAAAACCAAAAACTTAAAATAAAAAACATGTTCTAAGTGCTTTCTAGGTGGCAGATGTTGTTAATGTTTTACATGCACATATCATATAATATTCACATATTTTATTAAAACCTCCTTTACAGGGAGGAAATTAAATTTCAAAAAGCTTAGACAAATTGTTCAAGATTATATAGGTCGGAAGTGACAAAACCAAGACTGAAACCCCCATTAGTCCATTCCTCCCTTCTGCATACCCTTAGCATATGTTCTAAGCATTCTAGATTCAGATTATCATTCTATTTATATTAATGTAGGAGGCTACCATTTGTTCAAAATACCTTAGAATGCACTTCTGCTTTTTAAGGATACACAGTGTTCCTACCACCCAGTGGAACAACAATTTCTCTGAAATCAGATACATAAATGAAAATATTTTATTTCCTTTTCAGGCATCCACCAAGCTCATAGAGAATAATTTAGGCATTTCTGATGCAATCCTCAATAGACCTTTTACATAGTATGTGGGATAGTTCATACAGGGAGAATAAAATTAAGATCACCTTTTAGCCATTGTTATTTTACAGAGATATCACAAAATAATGTTGGAATGGGATGGAAAGGAATTACTTGCAGATACTTGTAAGTGGAGGTGTTTCCAAAATCATACTATATATTTCCTCCAAGGCTTACTTAGTTTATTTCCTATAGCAACATAGTTTACTGGTATTAAATTTGAGTATGACTATGATGGTGACAGCTTAGCTTCCTTATATTGAATTATTTTCCAAGCTTAATAGTGCTAGATACATGAAAAGTCAAAAGTTTAAAACCTGTAATTACTAAAACTTAGTGAGCCTGAGCCTGTATTTTTATAAATTTTTTCATTTTAATTTTGTGTTTAATGGAAACAGTGCCAAAATTTAATTACAAATATCTACTAAAAGTTAGACACAACCCAAACTGGGTGATGCTTAACTAACTGCAGTTCCATCTTCCTAAAATATATATGCAGAGCTTCTAAATATTAGAGCAAAGAGAATTTTTACATGATTTTTAATGATTTAGAGAAAAATACAAACTATTATGCATCTACAATTAAAGCTTTAGAAAATTAGTGTCTATAGCTTATGAGCCAAAACTCTAGCAAAGATAATTTGGCTGTCTACAACAGGTATAAACAAGATAATTGAAATGAGATAAAAGATAATTGAAAAAGGAATGTTCAGCAACATCAGATGTGAAACTTGGCTTCCAAAATGGGAGAAAACATGATTCAAAGTGTCCACTGTGCATATTGTATGTATTGGAAATGTTTAAACTACAAAGAGTCTCAGATTAAAAAAAAAGAAAATGTCATGCATAAGATAATGAAAGAATATGACTCTTTCATAGCGATGTGCTAATTGACCTAACATACTGAAGTAAACATCTTTCAAACATTCCCTCTTTCAAGTTGCATAGTTAAAACTCCAAAATCAATCTTTAAAGGACTAATGGAGATAAATGTAGATAAATATTAAGAGTAGTAAGTAAAATTTACATTCATGAGGGATATTGTCTTTTTGAACCTCCAAAGAGGAATGGGACTTAAAATGTACTCATGGTTATAGTTGTTGTGTGATGTCTGAACATCAAAATGAGAAAACCTAACTTGGATATCTGAGTCCATCCACTTAGCATTGTTCAAGGAAAAAAGGGACCATCGGCCCAGAATTTTAACACAAAAAATTGTACTCATCAAAACTCCAGATTTTCTTTATATATGAACAAGACTGAGAATCACCTTGTGGGAAATAGTTGAGGGAAGGATTTTATGAGGTTTCAACGGGGAAGATGAGACTTTGGGAGACTCAGAAACAATGGCGATAGGGTGGCAGTTTTCATCATGCACACCGTGGACCATTTCAAATG
This sequence comes from Homo sapiens, assembly GCF_000001405.40. Taxonomy (NCBI): domain Eukaryota; kingdom Metazoa; phylum Chordata; class Mammalia; order Primates; family Hominidae; genus Homo; species Homo sapiens. Next base: position 84,067,672 of record NC_000005.10, on the reverse strand, counting down.
CTAACTCTCAAAGTCTCCTCCTACAGTGGAAAACTCTAATCACTTACATGAATCTGAAGATTTTCTGATTTTCTTTGGAAAATAATATCTGAATCATTAACTTAATATTATGGTATGACATATTTAAATTTTTCCAATTTATATTTTTGGAGAGGGTGATTTATAGCAATTTATCAAGAACATTTAAAAGATTTTATAGACATCATAAAGGCATTTTAATTTTAATGTTTACAATATGTGAAATTTTAATGTTTACTATATATGAATAAGGCACTTTTCTACATTGTAGCATTTGATTTAGTTATTAAGTGTTAAGTGTCAAAAAGATATCTCTATTAAACATGAGAAGAATATTAACAATTTTATTTGATGTATGTTACTCCTGAAGCAAACTGTTGTAAAGGGATTTGGAATGGGGAGAAAATATGGAGACAGAAAATTCCAGTTAGAAATTTTACTTATAATAAAATGAAGAAAAAAGCAATCATTTAATTTTTTTAAAAAATGCTCCACAGACTACAGTGTAAAGATCCAGAAACTTAAGGGATACTTGTTTGTTTTTGGTTTGGACATCATTTTTGTCTTTACTTTTTAAAATTCTGGTATTCAAAGATCTCAGTGAAATTGTCATGTTTTATTGTAAATGGAAATTTCTAGAAGCTTAAATCAGTTTATACACATTAATAGTTATGTTGACAATAGAGTTTTATAGTAATGACACTGAGATTATTTTGACAAGAGAATATTCCAAGTTTTCAGTTTATTAAGTTACATCTGCATATCGTGAGAACGCAGATGCTTTCTATACTTATGTTTTTGGGGCACATTGCCCTTTTCAAAGCCTGTTCACAAATATTTGTTTACTTAAAAATAGTATTCCATTACAGAAAGGGATTTTGAAGCTAAATTTAATATATGCCTATTGTAAACATTTATCCATGAAAATTATTAGCTTTTTATGTTATTATTAATCTGCATTAACAATGTTTCATTTCTAAAATTCGTATTTTCAGTATTGTTATCCTGAAAACAATAAGATTATTGTTGGTTGTGCTCGTCTTTTCAGATAAATTTGCAAAGGAAAATGAGAGTTACTGGTGTGATTACCCAAGGAGCCAAGAGGATTGGAAGCCCAGAGTATATAAAATCCTACAAAATTGCCTACAGTAATGATGGAAAGACTTGGGCAATGTACAAAGTGAAAGGCACCAATGAAGACATGGTAAGAATAATTTAACCTACTTAATTTAAAAGAAAAATGTCATTGATAATTATTGATTATCAAATGACAAGGTCTTCAGGAGAAGACTTATGTTGATGAAAATAAATTACCAATGCGTCTTGTTTTTAATTGGGCTAGTGTGATGAAGGAAGTAGTAATTCTCCAGTTTATAAACTTAAAATGGCTGACATTTAAGATTTTCACAGATTTTAATTGGTGGTGCTACAAATACTTTGACACAGGTGGACACAGTCTTTTGTATGACAATTAAGCTTTATTTTAATGATACATTTTTATTGCTTTCGTGATTAACGCACTTTTTTTTTTTTTTTTTTTGAGACAAAGTCTCACTCTGTTGCCCAGGCTGGAGTGCAGTGGCGCGATCTCGGCTCACTATAAACTCTGCCTCCCAGGTTCACCCCATTCTCCTGCCTCAGCCTTCTGAGTAGCTGGGACTACAGGTGCCCACCACCACGCCCGGCTAATTTTTTGTATTTTTAGTAGAGATGGGGTTTCACCGTGTTAGCCAGGATGATCTCGATCTCCTGACCTCCTTATCCACCGGTCTCAGCCTCCCAAAGTGCTGGGATTACAGGCGTGAGCCACCGCGCCCGGCTGATTAACGCACTCCTTAATGAGATAACTATTATATTAATGAAAACTATTTTCTTAAAAGCAAAAAAGCACTAAGTGATAGAAGAGATATATATCTTTATATGCTTCATATTGGAAGAAAGATTTGTTACTTAGCAAAATAAAATATTTTAGAGGTATTGAATATTATATTCAATACTTCCTTTTCTTTTCTTATGATATTCTCAATTCTTTTGTTAGTTCTTCATCGAAAATTTTAATTTTAAAAATATCAGGACTGGAGATCATTCCATTTAATCAGGCATTATACCAGACTCTAATAAATTATATAAAATATTTTTAAAATTACCCCCTTAAATGAATTTAAATAAGGTTTTTGGATTATCAGGTTTACATAAAAGGTAAAATAAGAATAAGCCTTAATGAATTTACAATGACACATTATAGTACTTGAATTTTAGAGGCAAACATAGTTTTTAGCTGGAAATTTTAATAAGGAATTCTATTATCCAAGTACATGGGACTGGTTGATGAAGACATAATCTTCATGAGTCAAACCTTAAAGCATCATAAATCTAATCATAGCATTAGAGAGACTGGATGATCCGGAAGCAGTAGCAAAGACTGGATTCTACCCCCAAAAGTATGAATACTAAGTAGGAAAATGAGCAGACAGTCCCAGATTAAATTGAAGGATTTAAGGTGTCCATTTCTCAAAAAAAGAGAAGAGCGCTGCCCTGGTTCTGAAAGACTGGCCTTAAAATTGACAAGACCATCACAGTGGAATATAGATCATGTCATGAGCCACAGTGGTTTATGGCTTTAATTAGGAGTTTATGGTTGGGTTTTATATTCAGTGCTCATGGCAAGGCACTTCTCAAATGCTCCATGCTCCCAAATAATGTAATCTGTTCTTCGAACAATTATTTTCGATAAGGTATAGATAGGGTAAATATGTAAAAATAGGTAAATAAGCTGTTGCAGTGAATAATTTTAAACTGTTTTTACACAGGTGTTTCGTGGAAACATTGATAACAACACTCCATATGCTAACTCTTTCACACCCCCCATAAAAGCTCAGTATGTAAGACTCTATCCCCAAGTTTGTCGAAGACATTGCACTTTGCGAATGGAACTTCTTGGCTGTGAACTGTCGGGTAAGTCTCAAATTAACTATTTCTGTATTCTATTTAAAGAAAACAAAAAGCATATTTGTATGTAGCCTGTTACTAACCTACAAATTCAACAACCATAGAAATTTTTTTCTGGGGAAAAATGTCTACAACATGGTTCAGGGAAAACCAGTGTGTGTTTATGTATAGAATAAACAAGTTCTAAAACATGCTACAGGGTAGAATTAATGTAGAAAGAGTAATGTGTTTTGTTGAGTGGTCAAAGAAAGCACAGGGAATTCTCACGGGAAAATTGTCACTTTTAAATGTGTCTCATTGTTTTGCATAATAACTGTGATCTATGTTTTCCGACAAAAAGTTTAGTAAAAACTGGAATCTGTCCCACCTCATAAATTGCAGTAAAGGTTAAGCTATGTAACACAGAAAAGTAAGCTTTATCTTTGTCCATCTATCATAAGAACTTTATCTTTGTCTGTCTACCATAAGAACTTTTTTTTAGGTTTTATGAAACATTTAATTTCTCATTCCTCAATACTTCAATACCAAGATTGCTAATATAAATTCATTCTTGGATCATTCTTAGCTAGCAACCTGTTTATTGTAAAAATAGTGGTTATCCAACTCAAGGATAACCTATCAAAGGACTCAGAGTTAAATAATTCTTGTCCCCCAGGAACATCAATATTAGCTATAAAGATGAGGACTTAATGTGTGAATCTTACAGTGGCCCCATTTCAATATAGCTAGATTCTGAATGAAATAGAAAATTGTATCTAGGCATTTCACTTGTTATATTTTTGGTAGTTGTTCTTACATTTCTGGCATCACAATTTACAAACTATCTTTGCTGCAGTGGCCTGAAATTATTTTGTTCAAATAACTGTGAAGAAAACTAAAAGTGCGTGTGTGCTCCGCTTTTTAGTGTAACCCTGAAGTGAGGAAAAACCTTTACCAAATCTAAAACAATACCACTTAATTAAAAATAGGAGAACAAGTCCCTGCAAAGAGACAACTGTGAGCTTTTTATTCATTTCAAGAGGTTGCCTATAGGTTAAAGCGCATACTTTATATCTGTTTCTCTTCCTAAATTTATTTGTGTTGCCTAAAAAAGGATTGATTTTCAAGCAAATAAAATTTACTATTAAATAGCCAATTTTTAATAAGCCCAATACATTTTAAGAATTAAAGTAATTTGTACAGTCAAGTGAGCCTATTTTAAGAATCACATTTTCATATTCTATGTTGGTGTATTTTTTGAAGCAACCAACATTTGCTTTAGTACCATTAATTTTCCTAACAGAGATATTTTCCTTATTTTGGCAATTTAATCCAGTTTGTTTACTCCAGTTATTAAGATCCAGTAAATCTTAGCAGACTTATTGCTATACAGTGTTTGTATTGCATCTCACTATATCACCACAGACCAGTGTCATCCCTAAGCCATTTATCATAAAGCAATCAAGAGGAAGCCACAATATGATGAGATCTGCTGCAAGCCACATGGTTTTTAGTTGCTTAACATCACCTTCCACAATTTTTCAGTCTTTTGATTCATGAGAGTCAGTCTTTCACACATGGCACGGTTACACCCCTAAGATGTGAATATATTTTACTCCCAAGTTTGACAAGACATTGCACCTGACACTTTACAGGTTTTATTTTCTCAAAAAGAAGCAGTGCTGCATCTCCCAGCACAGCAAATTGATTTTGAACTTGCATGCAGAGAGTAATATCTCTCAATGGATGCTTTAAAAAACTAGAGCACTTCATTATAGAAATACCCATTTCATTGTTAATACTTCATTTTGTTCAAGTGCTGGCCACACTGGTAAGAGAGTTAATTAATTTATATGCTTGAAATCATATGGATAAGAAGTAAAATTTGTGGCATGAGGCACATTGGCAGAGAGGTTAGCTGTAACACCTGGAAATAAACACTAATGTAATGTACCAAACTACTCCCCACAATCCAGTGGAACACTGTAAAGCCTTATTGTATTCAGTAAATTGCTATTAAAATCTTTCACCCTGCCTAGAAGATGAGCAGGTAATCTCTTCTCAAACACTTTTGAAGATCATCTCCTAAATACACTGAAAGAAGTATGACTTAAGATATTTGGAATAAAATAGATTATGACCCTAATTAGAGGAGGAATACTCATTCATTCATTCTATGAACCAATAATTTGGCAATTCTGAGATAAATACTAGACAACAGAATGGATATAAAGTGAATTTTTTGGCTAAGCAGAAGTGGTCAAAGTAAAGCCATTCCTTTTCTATCCAGTACTTCAATACTATGTTATATCACAAAAGGAGGGAAACAACTATCTTTCCTCTTCCCTTGTATCTCCTGCAAACTGAGCAAAGTTTTCAAAGACTTGGGGGGTGGGATGCAGGTAGAGGCAAAGATGGGGATAAAAGAACAAGTCAGAATTTTTCAATGTAGACAATGCATGCCACTATGAAACTAACTTCCTGAAGATAAACAGCTTGCCATTAAGCCTGTTAGAATTTTCTAGACTCTTAGAGAATTGTTATGACTTTTTTTTCACCCAGAATATACAGGTAGGCATTACAGCTATCTTTAATATGAGGCTTCAGATACTTATCTCCTATACCAAAATGTACTCGTGTTAAGACACACAGCCCTCCATGTCATGTTTTCCATGTTTTCATAGGATATGCATTTCCTAGATGGTGGAGGTGAAGGGAAATATGGGGAGCCTCAAGAAGGTAGAAGTAATCTAGATAGACCAGGACAGAAGGCAATTAGTTATAGCTAAGAGTTATTGATCAATGAAGAGTTCTAAAGCACCTCTTTTATAGTTTAGACTCCAAAAAAGGTCTAGTTTTAGAAACTGTACCCAATAATTAAATATTATTGAGTACTTGTTGATATGCTGATATTTGGGGACTTACCATTGCCATCTGTTGGGATGAGTTTTACAGAAATCATACAAATAGTTAACATTGACTGAATGCTGTGTGCCAGCACTGTTTCTAAGTACTTTATGTTTATTAAGTAATTTCTTAGAATACTTCCTTGAGGTAGTTTCTATTATTATCACCATCTTACAGATGAGAAAATTTAGGTAGAAAGTTGTTAAATAACAGGGCAAGGCTACACAGCTGGGAAATGGGAGACAGTAGAGTGTGAGGAGAAAGTATTGGGTTGGAGGAGTGTCCTCTTGTCATCTTTGTTTCTTTGATGATCAAACTTACCTTGTGAGTTACTTGACCAAAATTTAACAGTTTCACATAAAGAAGACTCAGCCCCGGGCTCATATGATGATAGAATCATGCTTTCTATTACAAAAATTGTAAAGAGCATTTTGTCACAGTTGCAATCCAAGACTGGGAAATTTTGTGTCTATGTATACACACACAAACATATGTGCATGCATATAATTTTTCAAGGACAAGCAAGCCAAAATTTTTACCGTATTAAACTCAAAAATACATGTGGTAGATTTGAGAATCTTACAAAAATATCTAAACTTTATAGGTTATTGAATATGATTGAAATAAAATAATGTATTAAAAGGTTTGTTCAGTGGTGGTTATTGCTAGAATTATCTTATTATCTTCTGTTATCTATTAGTTTAAATTATGCTTGCACAATGCCTGGCACATGGCATACCCTCAGTAAATACTAGATTCCTCTCTTACAGAAGAAGCCATGTTGGTGCTATAAGAATCAGTGATGAAGATTAACATATTTCTTGAAAAACAAAATGCTGTCCGGTTTAGAATACAGCAGTAGAGCAGCTTGTGAAAATGACTTTGTACTGAGGGAATTTTCATTTGCAGTAATTTGAAAACAAATAAAAGAAAAACAATACTTTGTGAGAAAATGTCCCATTTTTAAAGACACAATGAAACTGTTGAAAACTGGGGAGCAGTCAGGAGGCCTCCAGTAATGAGACAGGAGAGAGCATTTCAGCATTGTTTTCATTTTGCAGAATCATCTATCACAGAAAAGTAGTTTAAATTGTCTGTCTTGTTTTCAATTTTTCCAAAATATATTCAGACAAAATAGCTTGAATTGACTATCTTGTTTTTCGATTTTGTTTCAGATTTATTTCTGATTATAGCTTTTTTTTGGATTTAGATGTTTTCTCTTTGGAGGAATGAATAGCATTATGTTTAATCTTCTCTTGCCTATCCAAAATGAATGCAGAAAAGTTCCAGGTGATCAATTATTTTTCTCATGGAGCCCTTCTCATTTTCTTTCAGGTTGTTCTGAGCCTCTGGGTATGAAATCAGGACATATACAAGACTATCAGATCACTGCCTCCAGCATCTTCAGAACGCTCAACATGGACATGTTCACTTGGGAACCAAGGAAAGCTCGGCTGGACAAGCAAGGCAAAGTGAATGCCTGGACCTCTGGCCACAATGACCAGTCACAATGGTTACAGGTAAAGTTTTCCAAAACTGTTTCACTACCCACTGTTCCTCTTTCTTAGAAGATTTCCTGTTGATTAGGTGAGTGTCAGAGTCGTTACCTTCACGCTAATTTAAATGTGCCTTCATCTTCGGTTTAACTAAATTGGTAAAACACAAATTCCTTATGAAACCATGTCTGTGGGCTATTTTTACGCTGGTGTTGGTTTATAGATGCTAGTGTAAGCTTGATGCAGGAGACTGTACCAGATCACACTATGTGTATGTCAATTGATTGATTAGGAGAGCATTTGCATCTTAACTCTCATCCATTCTAATACTTTGTATTAATATTGGCTTTGAAAGCATGACAGCAAGAATCCAAAGGGCATTGAAATCATGCCACTGACCTGCAAACTGTTCACGTAGAATCATGACTCATGACATATTAGCTCCTTACCTGTGGTTGCTAAGCAATGAAGATATTTGATTACATTCTCAAAACAGATCTTGCTTATAGAAGGAAACCATAGATACTGCAGAGTTTATCATTTGCAAATGAAGTAAGGTTACAGTCAGTGCTTTTTAAAACAATCTTCATGAAATTCTCTTATTTGTGGAGCACGTTTAAATATGCACAGGTTTGTTAGTGGCTTCTGTGGCAAAAAGTAAGACAACTCAATTCGATAATGAGATCACTTTATAGTGAAAGATACGAGTTCTGTTCTTGTTGATTTTTATGCTGTATTCATGAGTTTAAAAACTATAGTAGTTCATTGCATTCCCAGAAATCATGAAAACAATTTAAAATAGCAAATTCCACCCCTATCAAACAAGATTTGCCAAATCTGTAACTGTTCTTACCAGGTTACCTGAAATTTGCAATAGTTCCTCTTCTCTTCTCTCCTCTCTGCTCCACTCCTCTCCTTTTTTGAGACAGGGCTCACTCTGTTGCCCAGGCTAGAGAGCAGTAGTGCAATCATAGCTCACTGTTGCCTTAAATTCCTGGGCTCCAGCAGTCCTCCTGCCTCAGCCTACCAAATAGCTAGGACTACAGGTGCACATCACTATACCCCGCTAATTTTTTTTTTCTTTTGTGCAGACAGGTGTCTCACTGTGTTGCTCAAGCCAATCTCGAACTCCTAGCCTCCACCAATCCTCCTGCCTCAGCCTCCCAAAGTCTTGGGATTACAGGCATAAGCCCCCACATCAGGCTTCTTTTTTCAGTTTTTTCTTCAGTTGGCCTTACTTTTTCTTATACTCACAAGTAGAAATACTCACTTTTTTCTTTACTTTCCCTTAACATTTTTTATTGATCTAGAGCTTTATTCAGCTCTCATTAGCTAGCACATGCTATAGGTAATAATGTAAGTCTTTCTCCTATTACCGTTCTATGAACTTTTTGAAGATAAGGAGTATGTTTTCTAATATATCATCCCAGCACCCAACCTTATAAGTAGCAGTGCTTACTAAATTAAATTATTTATTTAACAAATGTTTGTGATGAACCTAGAAAGCATCATATAACATGATAAGTAGTGATGACATATAAGTGAGCAACACACTGTTGCTTAAGACATTAAGATATTACCCCTTGCTTAAAATATTCCTGTTATCTGACTTAGCTTACACCATTTTCTATTTTCCTCCATCCTCGTAGCAGATGTTTCCCAATGTCCTTTCCTGGTCACACTTCTTCTCCCAATTATCTTCCTGCTAACATCTCTTTCACCAGCTCCACACACTAACATTAACTGATTTAGCAAGTATTGGTAATTTCAACTATGAAAAAATGACTCAAATATCTGAAAATCATTTCCCATCTTACCATCCCCACTGCTACTTCTATCACCAGTGCTACCACCCTCTTTCACCTGGGTTTCACAGAAGCTTCTTAACCAGCTTTTCCGTTTCTAGTTTTACTCTTTAAAAATTCATTTCTAAAGTTGTAACTCGTGTGTGTGTGTGTGTTTGTGTGTCTGTGTTTTCCTAAAAGGTAAATATGATTCTCTTACTCTCCTGTTTAAAACCCTTCATTACTCCCTCTGTTTCAGAATAATGTGCAAGTTCCTTAATATAACCTAAGAGTTTTTTGCATGATTTGGCCCCAGTTCGTTTCTTACCCTACTCTTCTAAATTTGCTTGTACTCAAACCAAGTACTATCTCCTTCTTCCCATTCCTTTATAAATGTCCTCTTGCTATAAGAAATGAATGGAAAGAGCCTCTACCCACAGCATTATCTGCCTTCTGTTATATTTAAATCCTTCAGCTTCAGTTCGGATATACCTTTCTCTGGGAATATTTTGCTGCCAAATCCATTCTGCCCACGTCTGACTTAAATCTTTATCATGTATACTACTACATCGTCTGTAATTTTGTCACTATACCATTTTCTTACTGTATTGGAAATTGTGTTTTTATGCTAGGCTGTTTGTTTCAAGAGGCTGAGACCATGCCTGTCCTGACTTTCTTAACTTGTTGTTCAGCATCTAACTAACCTAACACATGGTGGGCATTCCATAAAGATTTGTTGAATGAATAAATGAATGATTCATTCAAAAAATAATTCAAGTTATTGGTTTGAGCCAACATAGCATATAAGTTTGATACCCAATTTAAGAGGCCAACTGGTACATATTCTCAATTTTTCAATATTTAAAAGATACATTTAAAATTTCTTGTTGAAGAGCTGACTTTTTTTTAAATAAGGAAACTAAATTTTTATAATATATAGCCATCATTGAAGTTTTCAGGTTCTTACTTTGAAGAAAATCTCCTTTCCACTTGTTAGACTTGACAATGATCAACTTAAAATTTTTCATTGCTGTATATTCTAAAATTGTAAATATTCCAGTCATGTATCAGATTGGCTGCGTATCGCTAATGTTATTTGTGAGTCATAATGCTGTGTGGAATAAGGCAAACTATTTTACACCCCATAAGTAGCTCAGGAGGTTGGTAGACTCTAGAAACATCCACATAAAGGGATTGCAAATGGCATATTTCTTTGGAAAGATAAAAATTAAACAAATATTTTTACATGAATCAGGGCATAATCTTCAGTGTGAGCCTCCATCTATCACTTTGTTCAAGATGATTTTTCAACTATCTTCTTAAAATCACTTGCATGCTAAAATTGATTCATTGTGTTCATAATAGACTTTGTGTTAATTCAAGGAGTAGTTCTTCTAATATATGTCTAATTTTTGTTGTATCAAAACATATTCAGAATCTCCAAGGCAAAGTAAATTGACATCTTTTCCTTTTATTTATTTATTTTGTGACATCATGCAAGAAAAAGGCCCAGAATTGTGACTATTTTTTAGTGTTTTCCCCTCAAGAGAATATAATCTGTTCAACTGTATATTGTTATGCTTGTTAGTGTTTCTGTTGAAAATAAGATTAACATTTTCATAGATAACAATGTATGGGGTGATTTTCTTTTTCAGTTGTTTATATAGAGGTAACATAGAGGTCAATTTTTATCCTGAATGTATTTATAAAATCAGACGCCTCTGAATTAGGTATATTTTTAACTAAAATGCATCAGTTCTGAGCAGTAGCTCTTCAGAAGAAAAGCCATGTCTGCCACTTAAATTCCCTTCCTTCATTATCAATCTCTTGCTATTTTTTTAAAAAATGTCTTTTATATACCAGCTAAAAATGTGACGCTCTAATGGAGTTTTATTTCTGTTTAATAGGTTTTTCTAAAACCTAATCAGATATCTGGCAATACAATTGTAAATTCAGCCCCCCAAAATACCCTCATGCCTAATTGTCATATAGTTTAAGAAATTCTTATGTGTCCTTTGGGAATTCGTATGTATTCAAATCTCATTTTAACATTCTTTATATTTTTTTATTATACTTTATAAGTTCTAGGATACATGTGCACAATGTGAAGGTTTGTTACATATGTATACATGTGCCATGTTGGTGTGCTGCACCCATTAACTCGTCATTTACCTTAGGTATGTCTCCTAATGGTATACCTCCCCCCTCACCCCACCCCACAACAGGCCCCGGTATATGATGTACCCCTTCCTGTGTCCAAGTGTGCTCATTGTTCAATTCCCACCTATGAGTGAGAACATGCGGTGTTTGGTTTTTTGTCCTTGCGATAGTTTGCTGAGAATGATGTTTCCAGCTTCATCCATGTCCCTACAAAGGACATGAACTCATCATTTTTTATGGCTGCCTAGTATTCCATGGTGTATTCCTAGTATTCCATGTGCCACATTTTCCTAATCCAGTCTACCATTGTTGGACATTTGGGTTGGTTCCAAGTCTTTGCTATTGTGAGGAGTGCTGCAATAAACATACGTGTGCATGTGTCTTTATAGCAGCATGATTTATATTCCTTTGGGTATATATCCAGTAATGGGATGGCTGGGTCAAATGATATTTGTAGTTCTAGATCCCTGAGGAATCGCCACACTGACTTCCACAATGGTTGAACTAGTTTACAGTCCCACCAACAGTGTAAAAGTGTTCCTATGTCTTCACATCCTCTCCAGCACCTGTTGTTTCCTGACTTTTGAATGATTGCCATTCTAACTGGTGTGAGATGGTATCTCATTGTGGTTTTGATTTGCATTTCTCTGATGGCCAGTGATGGTGAGCCATTTTTTCATGTGTTTTTTGTCTGCATAAATGTCTTCTTTTGAGAAGTGTCCATTCATATCCTTTGCCCACTTTTTGATGGGGTTGTTTGTTTTTTTCTTGTAAATTTGTTTGAGTTCTTTGTAGATTCTGGATATTAGCCCTTTGTCAGATGACTAGATTGCAAAAATTTTCTCCCATTCTGTAGGTTGCCTGTTCACTCTGATGGTAGTTTCTTTTGCTGTGCAGAAGCTCTTTAGTTTAATTAGATCCCATTTGTCAATTTTGGCTTTTATTGCCATTGCTTTTGGTGTTTTAGACATGAAGTCCTTGCCCATGCCTATGTCCTGAATGGTATAGCCTAGGTTTTCTTCTCGGGTTTTTATGGTTTTAGGTCTAACATTTAAGTCTTTAATCCATCTTGAATTAATTTTTTATAAGGTGCGAGGAAGGGATCCAGTTTCAGCTTTCTACATATGGCTAGCCAGTTTTCCCAGCACCATTTGTTAAACAGGGAATCCTTTCCCCATTTCTTGTTTTTGCCAGGTTTGTCAAAGATCAGATAGTTGTAGATGTGTGTTATTATTTCTGAGGGCTCTGTTCTGTTCCATTGGTCGGTATCTCTGTTTTGGTACCAGTACCATGCTGTTTTGGTTACTGTAGCCTTGTAGTACAGTTTGAAGTCAGGTAGCGTGATGTCTCCAGCTTTGTTCTTTTGGCTTAGGATTGATTTGCAATGCAGGCTATTTTTTGGTTCCATATGAACTTTAAAGTAGTTTTTTCCAATTCTGTGAAGAAAGTCATTGGTAGCTTGATGGGGATGGCATTGAATCTATAAATTACCTTGGGCAGTATGGCCATTTTCACGATATTGATTCTTCCTATCCATGAGCATGGAATGTTCTTCCATTTGTTTGTGTCCTCTTTTATTTCATTGAGCAGTGGTTTGTAGTTCTCCTTGAAGAGGTCCTTCACATCCCTTGTAAGTTGGATTCCTAGGTATTTTGTTCTCTTTGAAGCAATTGTGAATGGGAGTTCACTCATCATTTGGCTCTCTGTTTGTCTGTTATTGGTGTGTAAGAATGCTTGTGATTTTTGCACATTGATTTTGTATCCTGAGACTTTGCTGAAGTTGCTTATCAGCTTAAGGAGATTTTGGGCTGAGATGATAGGGTTTTCTAGATATACAATCATGTCATCTGCAAACAGGGACAATTTGACTTCCTCTTCTCCTAATTGAATACCCTTTATTTCTTTCTCCTGCCTGATTGCCCTGGTCAGAATTTCCAACACTATGTTGAATAGGAGTGGTGAGAGAGGGCATCCCTGTCTTGTGGCAGTTTTCAAAGGGAATGCTTCCAGTTTTTGCCCATTCAGTATGATATTGGCTGTGAGTTTGTCATAAATAGCTCTTATTATTTTTAGATACATCCCATCAATACCTAATTTATTGAGAGTTTTTAGCATGAAGAGTTGTTGAAATTTGTCAAAGGCCTTTTCTGCATCTATTGAGAAAATCATGTGGTTTTTGTCTTTGGTTCTGTTTATATGCTGGATTACATTTACTGATTTGCATATGTTGAACCAGCCTTGCATCCCAGGGATGAAGCCCACTTGATCATGGTGGATAAGGTTTTTGATGTGCTGCTGGATTTGGTTTGCCAGTATTTTATTGAGGATTTTTGCATCGATGTTCATCAGGGATATTGGTCTAAAATTCTCTTTTTTTGTTGTGTCTCTGCCAGGCTTTGGTATCAGGATGATGCTGGCCTCATAAAATGAGTTAGGGAGGATTCCCTCTTTTTCTATTGATTGGAATAGTTTCAGAAGGAATGGTACCATCTCCTCCTTGTACCTCTGGTAGAATTCAGCTGTGAATCCATCTGGTCCTGGACTTTTTTTGGTTGGTAAGCTATTAATTCTTGCCTCAATTTCAGAGCCTGTTATTGTTCTATTCAGAGATTCAACTTCTTCCTGGTTTAGTCTTGGGAGAGTGTATGTGTTGAGGAATTTATCCATTTCTTCTAGATTTTCTAGTTTATTTGCATAGAGGTGTTTATAGTATTCTCTGATGGTAGTTTGTATTTCTGTGGGATCAGTGGTGATATCCCCTTTATCATTTTTATTGGATCTATTTGATTCTTCTCTCTTTTCTTCTTTATTAGTCTTGCTAGCGGTCTATCAATTTTGTTGATCTTTTCAAAAAACCAGCTCCTGGATTCATTGATTTTTTGAAGGGTTTTTTGTGTCTCTGTCTCCTTCAGTTCTGCTCTGATCTTAGTTATTTCTTGCCTTCTCCTAGCTTTTGAATGTGTTTGCTCTTGCTTTTCTAGTTCTTTTATTTGTGATGTTAGGGTGTCAATTTTAGATCTTTCCTGCTTTCTCTTGTGGGCATTTAGTGCTATAAATTTCCCTCTACCCACTGCTTTGAATGTGTCCCAGAGATCCTGGTAAGTTGTGTCTTTGTTCTCATTGGTTTCAAAGAACATCTTTATTTCTGCCTTCATTTCGTTATGTACCCAGTAGTCATTCAGGAGCAGGTTATTCAGTTCCCATGTAGTTGAGTGGTTTTGAGTGAGTTTATTAATCCTGAGTTCTAGTTTGATTGCACTGTGGTCTGAGAGACAGTTTGTTATAATTTCTGTTCTTTTACATTTGCTGAGGAGTGCTTTACTTCCAACTGTGTGGTCAATTTTGGAGTAGGTGTGGTGTGGTGCTGAGAAGAATGTATATTCTGTTGATTTGGGGTGGAGAGTTCTGTAGATATCTATTAGGTCCACTTGGTGCAGAGCTGAATTCAATTCCTGGATATCCTTCTTAACTGTCTGTCTTGTTGATCTGTCTAATGTTGACAGTGGGGTATTAAAGTCTCCCATTATTATTGTGTGGGAGTCTAAGTCTCTTTGTAGGTCCTAAGGACTTGCTTTATGAATCTGGGTGCTCCTGTATTGGGTGCATATATATTTAGAATAGTTAGCTCTTCTTGTTGAATTGATTCCTTCACCGTTATGTAATGGCCTTCTTTGTCTCTTTTGCTCTTTGTTGGTTTAAAGTCTGTTTTATCAGAGACTAGGATTGCAACCCCTGCCTTTTTTTGTTTTCCATTTGCTTGGTACATCTTCCTCCATCCCTTTATTTTGAGCCTATGTGTGTCTCTGCACGTGAGATGGGTTTCCTGAATACAGCACACTGATGGGTCTTGACTCTTTATCCAATTTGCCAGTCTGTGTCTTTTAATTGGAGCATTTAGCCCATTTATATTTAAGGTTAATATTGTATGTGTGAATTTGATCCTGTCATTATGATGTTAGCTGGCTATTTTGCTCATTAGTTGATGCAGTTTCTTCCTAGCATTGATGGTCTTTACAATTTGGCATGTTTTTGCAGTGGCTGGTACTGGTTGTTCCTTTCCATGTTCATTGCTTCCTTCAGGAGCTCTTGTAAGGCAGGCCTGATGGTGACAAAATCTCTCAGCATTTGCTTGTCTGTAAAGGATTTTATTTCTCCTTCACTTATGAAGCTTAGTTTGGCTGGATATGAAATTCTGGGTTGAAAATTCTTTTCTTTAAGAATGTTAAATATTGGCCCCCACTCTCTTCTGGCTTGTAGAGTTTCTGCCGAGAGATCCGCTGTTAGTCTGATGGGCTTCCCTTTGTGGGTAACCCCACCTTTCTCTCTGGCTGCCCTTAACGTTTTTTCCTTCATTTCATCTTTGGTGAATCTGACAATTATGTGTCTTGTAGTTGCTCTTCTCGAGGAGTATCTTTGTGGCATTCTCTGTATTTCCTGAATTTGAATGTTGGTCTGCTTTGCTAGGTTGGGGAAGTTCTCCTGGATGATATCCTGCAGACTGTTTTCCAACTTGGTTCC
Organism: Homo sapiens; assembly: GCF_000001405.40. Lineage (NCBI taxonomy): Eukaryota > Metazoa > Chordata > Mammalia > Primates > Hominidae > Homo > Homo sapiens. The sequence continues at coordinate 84,051,861 of NC_000005.10, read as the reverse complement.
ATTCTCCCCGTCACTTTCAGGTACACCAATCAGACGTAGATTTGGTCTTTTCACATAGTCCCATATTTCTTGGAGGCTTTGTTCGTTTCTTTTTATTCTTTTTTCTCTAAACTTCTCTTCTCGCTTCATTTCATTCATTTGATCTTCAGTCACTGATACCCTTTCTTCCAGTTGATCAAATCGGCTAGTGAAGCTTGTGCATTTGTCACGTAGTTCTCATGCCATGGTATTCAGCTCCATCAGGTCCTTTAAGGACTTCTTTGCATTGGTTATTCTAGTTAGCCATTTGTTTAATCATTTTTCAAGGTTTTTAGCTTCTTTGCAATGGGTTCGAACTTCCTCCTTTAGTTCGGAGAAGTTTGATCATCTGAAGCCTTCTTCTCTCAACTCGTCAAAGTCGTTCTCTGTCCAGCTTTGTTCCGTTGCTGGTGAGGAGCTGCGTTCCTTTGCAGGAGGAGAGGTGCTCTGATTTTTAGAATTTTCAATTTTTCTATTCTGTTTTTTCCCCATCTTTGTGGTTTTATCTACCTTTGGTCTTTGATGATGGTGACATATGGGGTTTTGGTGTGGATGTCCTTTCTGTTTGTTAGTTTTCCTTTTAACATTCAGGACCCTCAGCTGCAGGTCTGTTGGAGTTTGCTGGAGGTCTGCTCCAGACCCTGTTTGCCTGGGTATCAGCAGCGGAGGCTGCAGAACAGTGGATATTGGTGAACAGCAAATGTTGCTGTCTGATCGTTCCTCTGGAGGTTTTGTCTCAGAGGGGTACCCAGCTGTGTGAGGTGTCAGTCTGCCCCTACTGGGGGGTGCCTCCCAGATAGGCTACTCAGGGGTCAGCAACCCACTTGAGGAAGCAGTCTGTCCGTTCTCAGATCTCAAAGTCCATGCTGGGAGAACCACTACTCTCTTCAAAGCTGTCAGACAGGGACATTTAGGTCTGCAGAGGTTTCTACTGCCTTTTGTTCGGCTATGCCCTGCCCCCAGAGGTGGAGTCTACAGAGGCAGGCAGGCCTCCTTGAGCTGCGGTGGGCTTCACCCAGTTCAAGCTTCCTGGCTGCTTTGTTTACCTTCTCAAGCCTCAGCAATGGGGAACACCCCTCCCCCAGCCTCACTGCTGCCTTGCAGTTTGATCTCAGGCTGCTGGGCTAGCAATGAGCGAGGCTCTGTGGGCGTGGGACCCTCTGAGCCAGGCGCAGGATATAATCTCCTGGTGTGCCGTTTGCTAAGACCACTGGAAAAGCACAATATTAGGGTGGGAGTGACCGGATTTTCCAGGTGCCGTCTGTCACAGCTTTGCTTGGCTATGAAAGGGAATTCCCTGACCCCTTGCACTTCCCAGGTGAGGCGATGCCTCGCCCTGCTTCAGCTCACGCTCAGTGCACTGCACCCACTGTCCTGTACCCACTGTCTGACACTCCCCAGTGAGATGAACCTGGTACCTCAGTTGGAAATGCAGAAATCACTCGTCTTCTGTGTCGCTCACACTGGGAGCTGTAGACTGGAGCTGTTCCTATTCTGCCATGTTGGAACTGCCTCAAATCTCATTTTAACATTCTATTGTTTTTATTACTCTAATGTTTCATCTACTCACTTCTATAAGATCAAAATGTCTGGAACTTCTCAAGCAAATATTCTTGTGTGATTTTTTTTTTTTTTTTTTTTTTTTTGAGATGGAGTTTCGCTCTGTCGCCCAGGCTGGAGTGCAGTGGCGCCATCTCGACTCACTGCAAGCTCCGCCTCCCGGGTTCACACCATTCTCCTGCCTCAGCCTCCCATGTAGCTGGGACTACAGGCGTGCGCCACCATGCCCGGCTAATTTTTGTATTTTTAGTAGAGACGGGGTTTCACCGTGTTAGCCAGGATGGTCTCGATCTCCTGACCTCATGATCCACCCGTCTCGGCCTCCCAAAGTGCTGGGATTACAGGCGTGAGCCACCGCGCCCGGCCGTGTGATTTTTTTTAAGAGGTGATCCTACCTAATTGGTTAGCTTTCTTGAGTTGCTGCTAATCATAAAATTGTTATGCTATTTCTATCGGGACATGGCAAAAATGTGTGAGGGCCTCAGGCAGCCCTAAACAGAGGCATTTCTCAGACCTCTGTGTATGATGGTTTGTAAAACTTTAAAATTCAACTAATACTTTGAGCAATAAAGCTTACCAATGTGTTATCTGAAAGCCTCCCAAAGGTCAAATTTTAGTTTTTAACTTTCAAAATTCTTACCAATGTTGAAATTGGAACATTCTGAGCCAATTATTCCATACTCCTAATTGGACATTCCTAACTCATGGTTAGGATAGATATTAATCTTTGTTATAAAAATAAAGTAACATTTAACTCACAGAGATGTTTTTAGGTTAAGACTATTAGCTTCCATAGGTAGTTTCCAAACAAAGAAGTCAGAAATTGTGATGACTCTTAAAGTGGATTAAATAAAACAAATAACAGAACAGTGGAAGCATGCAGTAGGTACTCAGTATTGGATAGATCCCTTCTTTTCCTTTCTGGTGGATTGTGTACCTCAGGAGAACAGAATTTGACACCACCAATTTTAATCAAAAGTGAAGATTTGCATATATATTCCTCCAAAATGGAATTTCCAATAAAATAATGAAATGTAAAATAATACATTGTTAAATCATTGCAAACTGTAGGTTGTGTTGATA